>NC_000011.10:4605454-4908484 GCF_000001405.40 Homo sapiens
GGACAGGCCACTTCTTCCACAATGGCTTCCACCAAGGCTGTGGGATCCATGGTTCCTTCTCACACCCTCCTCAGAACATGAATGAAACCAGGGAGAAGTAGTAAAGGCTGAGAAGAAGAAAAGAAAGACAAATAAGAGAAAAAGGTAACAGAGGAACAGAGAGATCAGTAACAGGAATAATTAATTTCTGGGGGAAAACCACCTTCCTTTTGACCCTTTACTGACCTTCTTTAATAAGCATTGGCCTTTCCAACTGAAGGGTGCATGGTCTGAACGGGCCACATTACTCATACCATGAAGGGGATAATGGGGATGCCTAAGTGAGTGAATATTGGGAGTCCTCGGTTTTCATTCACTTGGTCAACTCTGATTTTCCTCTGGGTTTGCTCTACTTGACCATTACCACTCCAATCATGCTCTACAAATCAGCATTATTTCTCTTAAACTTGGGTAAGTTCACATAAAATGTGGTATTTCAGTATCTGAAGTAAGGCCATAAATACCTCCAGCCTCACTCTCTGGTATGTTTATATTTACATTAATATAATTCAAAGTGTCAAAAGGTAGTATGCCAGAAGCCCATTGCCTACAAGCTCAATTTGTTTTCTTGTGTTGCACACTAAAATGCAAAAACTGTAAAGGAAACAGCAGTTCTTTTCCTGTGCCTTTTAAACCCCTGCCCACTGCTCCAGCACTAATGTACTTATTATTCACCAAGATGTCAAGGTAGTCTTCTGAGCTTTTAGTGATATGCTAGAAGCAGAGATGAAATAACATCCCTTGGAGATTAAAACAAAGATCATTTGATGATCATCACACCCATATTGATGAAATCACTACACCAGCAAGAAATCTGAGATTTTTGCCAGGGCCACATATGGGCATGGAACTTGGTCAATGGCAGGCTCTTGGCTCAGTTGGCAATATTTATTCATTCACTTTGCTAGTTTGTGTTACCAGCTAGAATCTATACAAGGAAGGGACATGTTGATCCTAGTTCCTGTTGTATCCTCAGCACCTAAACAGCACCTGCAATGCAGATATTGCTGAGTAAATATTTGTTGAATGAATTAACCAGCTAGACATAGGAAATAGTTCCTAAACCCAAAATCCTTTTAGCATTTGTGAGGTAAATTGAGAGCATACATTAATAATAAAAGCAAGCACTCTTTGAGCAGTTCTATGATGTGCCAGGCACTGTTCTGAGCACTTTACATGAATTAAGTTGGTTTATTTCACAACCCTAGGCAGAGGCCATTATTGTTCTCATTTTACAGATGTTTGGCTTGGGGCTCTGCCATCTATCTTGGGCAAATTTCTTAACCTCTTTAGCTTTAAGGTATAATACAAATTCAAGAGGAGAGAAAAATCACTGTGGTTTAGCGCAGTCCAGTAGCAGGAAGCAGGAAGCAGAGCAGTAAATCTTGCAGGACTCTGATATGCCATTGGCAGGGCATGCCTTCTCACTAGACTCCCTGCCTCCTGCTTTTCTTCCTCCCACTATCACTACCAAACTGTGGGATCCAGTATCCTAAAACCTCATTTTGGTAAATCACTAACTTACTAAATAATCTATCCTGGCTCCCGGTTAACAAGATCTCTCCTTGAAACAGCACCTGTGCCCAGCTAGGCAAAGGAATAAACTTCCACACACTCCCGCAAACCCCTCGTCCATTCAATCTACCTGACTTGGGTGCCTGCTATTCTCCCAGCTGAAAATGACTTCTACATGATCCTGCCTTTGACGTCATTTGCCATGTATTCGTCTATTGTCTTACTTCCCATACTAGAACTTTTTCATGTGGATAGGGTCATTGTCTGTTTTGTCCATTTCTATTTCCCCAGTGCCAAGAACAGTGCCTCAAATACTTGTTGAATACGTGAAAACTAAATGTAAATGTTGAGTTCCAACCGATAGTAGATTGAAAGTGGAGGATGTGTTAATATCCTTAGCTAAGTCAGTAGAGACATTAAGAGACACCATCTAAAGTCAATAAAACAATAAATGGAAGTTGATACCCATTATTTAAAGCTACAAATGGAAGACCTAAAATAGCGATGGAAAATTGACAAGATTGTGGCAGTAAGAAAGTAAGGCAAAGAAATATCAAAATGATAAATCCAGAAATACAGTGGAACGCATATTATTTTGATTTAGGGTGCTAAAAACATCTAAATGGGGACAAACTAAAAGTGGCAGCCTCTGCAAAGATCTGGGGATGGGTAGTTACTGCTCTTCAAAATAAGACCTGCTTTAATGTTTGACTTTTTATTATACATGAATTACTTTGAGAAAATTCAAATAATTAAACGTTCGGTTGCTTTGACTGTGCCTTCCGTAGGGTACAGCGAGAGTCTGAGAAGGGCATTTGAGAAGGGGGCGGGGCCTGGAAGACTTCCAGTTAGGACCCCAGCGGGAAGGGAGTCGAGGGGCGGGCGGTAACCTCCGGAGTCAGGGAGCAGCTCCTGGCCTGGCCACAGGGCGTTGGGCAGGTCCCCAGGACAGCGGGCGGGTGGGGGTAAAGTGAGCGTGCGGGATCTGACTTCAGAAAAGGCAGAGTTATCTACCCACCTCCCTCCTCGGCCCGGACTGGCGCTTCGCGGCGGAAACTCAAAGTGAAGAAGCCTGGTTCCGCAGCGTCCAATGGCCCAGCGTCAGAAGCTGCCGTTCCCGGCAGCTCAGCACTTAGGGCCAGAGAGCGGCAGAGGCCCAGAACCCAAAGCCCGGCAGCGCAGGCCCAGTAGCCCGCAGCTCCCAGAATACTACACCCGGCTCTAGGCCCCGCTCGCGGGACGGCAGCCAATGAGCGGCCGGCTGGGCCCAGGTTGGCTTCGCCCAGGGGGCGGTGTGTTTGTGGGGGCAGCCAATCACAGGCAGGGACCAGGGTACCCCTAGCCAATTGGTGATGAGACGGGGGTTTCGGCGCTTCTAGGCATGTCAATGTTTTTTCTCTACTTCCTGGGTTTTTCTGGTCCCTTCACCGACTCAGATTCCCTTAAACTGTAGAGGGTTCTAGGAGTTAGTTCTAGGATAGGTCAAAGGATTGAGGCTCCCAAATGATGCCGCTCAGGCACTGCATTAAGAGAGGCTCAGGTGGCTATTCATTTGCCAGTTTGACTTGTTAAACTCAGAAGCCTGAGATTGGCCAAGTCTGGTTCTGTGACCCATCTTAGCAAAGGGTTGGGCGCACATATGGTGTGGACTCTGCTGTTCCTGGCAAGATTCGCGACCTCTCATGGTTCCAGGCTTTAAATACTGGGTTCTTAAACAAAACAAAACAAAACAAAACAAAACCCTCTCTTTTTTCGTTTTTACTTCAGCAACCAGCTTGTCATCACTATTGCCACAATCCACTTTTAGAGTGAAAAACAGACAACAGAGACCGGGAGTTGATGGAGAAATGGAAACCCTGGTCAAAAATTGTCATTAAAAAAGGAAAAAAAAATTAAACAACTGGTATCCCTTCCTCACCCAAACACATAGACACATGCACGCACACACAAAAACTGTTACTTAAGACAGTGATATGGGTTTTTCTTTGTACTCCCAGGGCCTTGTCCTTCTCTTGACACTTAGGTTTTAATAAGCAAGTGAAGGCACCTCCTATCCGCATAGAAAATAACCAGGAAATCTTCCAATTGAAGCTCGGTTCCAAATTATATAATATCTTAATTGTTAGGACAGATACTCCAGAATGCTCATGCCAGTGTCTGAGCCCCGGCCATGGTTAAAATTCTGAAGGGTGAGGCCCAGAAATTTCCTGCAACAAATAGGTCTATGAGAAAAAACAAAAGTATCTTAGGTCTGAGCTGTACCCTCTGTCTCACCCAGTTTTGGAGAAATGGCTGCTCTAATAGAATAATGAATGGATTAATTGAAATAAGCCATTTTAAACATTTATTTAACATCAATTTTCTTGACAATATTTTACTGGGTGCTGGGATTACAACTATGGGACATATAGTCTCTGCCTTTAAGGAGCTGAAGGTCAAGTTGGTTGTACTGCTCTGGAATCTCTGTGAAGTTAAAACAGTTAATGGGGAGATCATTTTCATGTGTAAGGTGCAATTTGTAACTATGACGGACTGTCAAGAACCCTGGCAATCAGGGTAGCTGGGGGTGGGGGCTTGCGTTCATGTGGGGAAGGCTGGAGAGAGGGCTTTTGAAGACAGACCAGTTTACTTCCAAGGCATAGAAGCTTTCCTTTACAGATGTCTTCAGAATGTTTTGTTTGTTTCTTTATTTGTTTGCTGTGAGACAGGTGTGTCCAGGTGAGGCTCTGTCGTGGACAAATTCCACAGCTGTAGCTGCAGACCCCAACCCTCTGCCCTGAATCCAGGATAGACCAGGACAACAAGATGAGTGGCTAACTGTAGGATGGTGTCCATCTGTGCTCTAGGGGAGGAGTAGCATCAAAGGAGAAGCAAGAACTGAGAACTGTTTGGGGCACTGAAGAAGTAGGACTAAGGAAGAGTTAGGGGGTTAGTACAAATCTGAGGCCTGGTTTTCTGGAAAGAGACCAGAGACTGACCTTATTGCATGTCATACAACATGCTTGCTTAGAGACCCCTAATTTATTTTCTTCTCTTACTCTTTCTGAGGAAGCATGAGCCACACCCTCAGTTAGTTTTGTATAATCTTAGGCTTGATGAGAATATAATCTTAGTCTTGAAGGCTTTAAAGGGGAAGAAATAGCTGTCTGTGTTAGTGGTGTGTCAGTCAGCAGGAGAACCTGCTAGGGGTGGAAGGAGGAGGGTAGGAGTATAGCCTAGACCATGAGTAGATACCCCGCTCCACCTTGAAAGTCTCCTACTGGACCTCTTATGATGGAGTTAATACCTCCTGTTTCCTCTATTCCAGATTGTTTTCAGTTTCCAGAAGGCAAAACTGACATCTCCCAGGAGTCCAAGTAGGAGATTAGGGCCTCCCGTCCCTATCTACTCAGTGCTAGCCTTGGCTAAGAGAGAGGAAATTCCTGCCTAGAGGGGAAAATCTGCAGGACTTCGTTACCACTTTCACTTTGGCAGAGGAAGGAGGTCAGGGATGGAAGGGGAAGTGAGTCTAGAAATTAAAACATAGAATTCTGTCTACAGGTGGTGGAGAGCCTTTCTGAAAGTGCTTCTGGGTTGAGGCTGTCACCTAGATTTTATATTAGAGTTTAAGTGTTCCAAAAAATTAAGAAGCAGGAAGTAGAAAAGAGAGAACAATTTCAGAAGCAGACGAAAGGAACAGTAATAGGAAGATCTAGCAAGGATGTGGTGGGGCAGTTTCAGTGTGAGATGCCATGGACAGGAAAATGGCAGCATATGTGTGTGTGTGTGTGTGTGTGTGTGTGCATGAGACAGAGAGACATAAATAACTAAATAAAAAGGTATATATCAGAATATAGATGTATATTACAATAGCAATTGTTAATAGTGACACACAACTAACAGTAAGACTTTTGTACAGTGGGAAGCAGAACAAGCCAAATGCTGTTATTAGTTTTGATATCAGAGTTGCATTAGATTAAAACAAGAAGAAGTAGCTTTATATGTCCTTGTATTTGATGTCTAATTCAAGTTCTTTAAATGTCGAATCTGTTTCAGTAAGTTACTATTCTCAAAGTATCAGTGTCTCCATGGTTATGAACAATTACACAAATAATTATTTTTATTTTTATTTGCCATTACTTTGAGTTTTTTTCTTGATTCTAATCCCTGATATTATATATTTACCACTACTTTATGTTTTTTTTTCTGAGTGACATATCTTTCTTTCCAAAGATCTGTCTAATTGATTGTTCCTTTCAAAGAACCTGTTAATTTGTTATTTCAATTTTTTTCTGATTTTATCTTTATTATTTTTTCTTGATTTATTTTACTTATATTTATTGTCTTATTTTTCTTGCTTCTTGCATTGATTGAGGAGTGTAAAGTTTTCCCTAAATATAAGTCAGGCTATATACCATAAATCATCTTGGTGCTTTCGTTATCATTTGTTATTAAAAAAATTATTAAGCACAGTTTCAAATTTGCTTTTCTCTTGAAATTACTTAATTAAATTGAAATTCTCTCTCTATATATATAATTTATTTAGGTTTGTTAGCATTTTATAACCACAATGCAATAAGAGTTTAAAAAATGCCATTATAACTTATCATTTGGGAAACTGTTTTGTGGCCAACTATATAATTGCATTATATAATTGTTCAGAAGGTACTGGAAGAGAAGGCATATTCTCTATAGTGGAAAATACTAAATTATATAGTCTTCTTATCAGAGTGTAAAATGTGTTTGTAGGGATTTGGCCTAACTCATTGCCACGTGAATAGCAGACAACTGAGAGAAGAGCCAGTCAATCAAAATGCCTACTAAAAACAAGAGTTGAAAATGCCAGAAACCTATTTTAAGCATAAAAAGGACTTATTAAAGAACATTTGGTAGTCCATTGATGATGTATGCAGGAACATCATCAAATTACCCCATAGGTCCACTCTGATGGAACTACCACTACTGGCTCCATTGAGCATAGTCAACTAGGATCTCACTCCTAAACCTGGGTGCAGAGACTGACACTAGAATCTCTGCCTCTGATATCTCTGGAAGATTTACTCTTCTGTCAGCACTCTTCACCAGAATGATTCAATGTGGCATTTTGCTTTTATTTTCCTAGCTTCTGAATTGGCTTCCTGGAGGTGTGCATGATTGACAGCACTTAGACAAAATGCCTTCTCCCATGGTGGGTGATTATTCCCATCTATTTTCTCCCTTTTTGTGAGGGGGACATACAATCTCATCCATTGCCTCATGACTCACAGTGCTTCCCGATAGCTGGAGAATGCTTTCTAGGACATTATGAGACTTGGCTATATGACCATCTTGGGTCGTTGAAATAGGAATGGAGGGAAGTGTTTCAGTTCCATAGAGAAGCTCTAAGAGACATTTCATGTTTGTACCACCTTTTGTTGTTTTCTCATTGTCACAATAAAGGCATATCACAAAGAGGGGCTCCTGCTTCAGCTTGAGTCCTGGATGCAAAGACATGTGGACTGGGATCCTAGCAACCTATCTGCAGCCAAGGACATGACGTGTGAGTGAAAACATTTGTTGTATGCCCCTGAGATTTTGGATTTTCTGTCATGGTATGAAAGCTGATTAATTAGGTAGGAAGGTGACTTCTATGGCTTTTCTTTGGGAGAAGTAGACGCCCCAAGAAAAGGAAAATTGGTCAAACATAGGAAGAGCACTCAAGTGCCAGCTACAGTGAATGACAAATACCCACCACAAGCACAAGCTCTACATTCACAAAAACTTGGAAAACACAAGTAAGTCCTCAGAACAAAACATGGCTACCACATAGTATAATAGCTCATTCCCTAGTCAAAGAGAAATTTAGATCCACATTGCCATCACTGGCCACAGTCCTTAAAGAGAATTATAATGCTCTCTGGGGAGAGACCAGAAAGGAAACACAAGGGGAAAAAACAGGATTGATGGTTTCAGGTTTTCAGAACTGTTTTATTTGTCAGTTGGTGTCTATCGTTTGGTGTCTAGAGCCCGGAAATTAACTCAGGATATACCTAATGTTAAATGACGAGGTGATGGGTGCAGCACACCAATATGGCACATGTATACATATGTAACAAACCTGCACATTGTGCACATGTACCCTAAAACTTAAAGTGTAATAATAATAAAATTAAAAATAAATAAATAAATACATAAAAAGAAGAGTGAAACTATGATTTCCTTACAATGTGAGAAAAAAATCCACCTATTTAAATAATTTTTTATTTGAAGGAAATGGTGTATGAAACACTTCTGTTTTCTCAAATTAAAATTTGCAATATGCCATTCTTCCCTTAAGTATTATGCATATTACAAAACCTCCACACTTCCTTTTCCATCTCCTCTTTGTCCATTTTGTTCCAAGCACCCCAGTGCAGCATTGAGAGTATTCTTTAGGGAGAAACAGCTACATTCTTTTGGGCAGTGTCTTGGTCAATTTATGCTGTTATAACAAAATACCTGAGACTGAGTAATTGATAAAGAATAGAAATGTATTTCTCACAGTTCTGGAGACTGGGAAGCCTAAGACCAAGTCACTGGCAGGTTAGGTGTCTGGTGAGGGCCTGGTACCTGCTTCCAAGATGGGACCTTAAACTCTGTGCCCTACAGAGAGGATGAATGCTGTGTCTTCGTCTTCACATGGCAGAAAATGCAGAAGGGCAAGAGGGCTTAATGCATCCCTTCCAGCCCTTTTATAAGCTTGCTAATCGCATTCATGAGGGCAGAGCCCTCCTGGCTTAATCACTTCCTAAAGGCTCTATTACTTAATACGATCACACTAAGTTCCAATATATAAAGTTTAGAGGGACAAATATATTCACACCATGTCAAACAAGATGCATTCTATTGAGCAAAAATACATTTCAAAAAAAGTTTAAGGCCTGACATTTTCCACAGTTCTTAGTACCTCTCTTTTCTTTGTATTTCATGGCATCTATCACAAATTTCTAAGGACTCTTTAGCTCTTCACCAAAGTGCCTTCTTCCTGTGCTGGATTTCCTTAGGTCTGTGAGTCTGGCTGTCCACGGGAGGTTTACTATTGCTGGCCACATTCATGAGAGCTATAAAATCATGATCATCTGGTTCCTGAACCTAAGCTTCTGTTTTATTCCAGAGCCCAAGCCTTCAGAGACCCAGAGACCTATTCTTGGATATACACATCTTCCCAGATTTTTGCTTCTCCTCACTTAGACTTTATATTCTCCAGAATTTCTATAAATGTTGTTACCTCTTTTACTAAGTAGTAAACTATGACTTTAACTTCCTTTAATACTCTATTTCCCTCTTTTTTTCCCTGTCAGTACAAGTAGGTCCATCATTTTTTTTGTAAACGCATTAGCTCCATTTTTCTCTACCACTTATAATAGCCACATATTTGCTAGATCAGAATGTCTTCTGATCTAGCAGAAGACACCTAATTTTCTTTTTCAACTCACCCTAATTTTATTTTTCAACTCAACTCCTAAGGAAATTTTTTTTCCTTCAATTTCTGATACACTCTTAATTTGTTTCCACTTCTAAAGCTAAAACTGTCTTGTAGATACCTCTGTAACTCTTCATCAAGGCACTCTGTCATTCTTTTATCTGTTGACTAAAATGATGCATCTGACACTGCTATTTCCATGCCAATCTGATTAAGAAAGCAACGCCATTCTTGTTATAGGTTTCCTTTCATTCTTTATTGGCCTTAGGATTTGTGATTATTTTATTCCCGCCTCCTGTCCCCCTGCCTCCCACATTGGTTGAAAATGAAACTTCTTCTTTATCTGCTTATGATGATATTTGCTGTGCTTGGACCCATGTTCCAGAGCTCTTAAATCTACAACTTTGATCAAAGTTTAACCAATAAATGAAATGAGATAATTTGCCAAATGTAGTTGGTTCCCAGGGAAAGACTATAGATAAGACATGCAGTTTACTGAAAGTTAGTCATCTCTCGATTATGATACAGCTTAAAACAGAATTTAAGAAATCCAGAGAAACATATATAATACAGTTTACTAATTCATGGCTGTAACAACCCAAAGGCCTAAAATATTCTTTACAGATCTGTACTTACTTTGAATTTAATTCACTCCAGCCCAGGTAGAATTATTCCACTCTTACCATTTGACTTAAGGAAGAAGACTTTCCTGCCCTGTAAGGTGAATCCCTGGCTCTACAAATCAAGATCTTGCTATCGTGCATGCAAAACCATTTGCGCTTGGATGCCTAAATAAGAGGGAGTCCTTCCCCAGTTCAGCACCTTCAATTGCTCCTATGGTACTTTGCTTCCCAATGACAGAACCTGGTCTAGTTTCTCCCTCATCTGCTAACTAGGCAACATGCTATTGGTCATCTTAACGAGAATAACTTGACAAAATGGAAGTGTATTATTTGGTTCAGAGTGGTTGTAAAAGGTCATAGAGATAAAGGTAGCAGATAGACAGGCACTCTGATTTTGCTAAGGGGACAGATTTAGTGAAGAACAAGAGGCTAAAGATACAAATGAGATGTATATTGAGGGGATGGGGTCCTAGAAGATATGGGAAGGTATGGTGTTCAGAGAACAGGTGGAGAGGTTATCTTGGACAGGAGAGATACCCGACTCTATATACAGAAAAAAAGACAAGAATGGGCGTAGATATGTTTAGAGATGGGGGGATCATCTATAAACCTAAGATTCTCGATTTCTCCATAAATAAGATGTATACCAGATGTTGTTGGTGCCATGTCTTACTGCAAGCCTGTGTCTCTTATCTGAAAGTTTTCCCTTGTGTGGCAAACCAGGAATGCCAGGGAGTTAATAGTCCTGGAGCATCCCTTAGCCAGTGAAAATGGAAGTTGGAGGATTATTACTCAACTTCCTTACTCCTTGGGTGGTATAACTGAGGTATGTTCTACTCCCTCCTTGAAATCTCTAATGGAACTGAGTTCTAGTTGCTCATAGTGGTAACCTACTTGAAGATGTTCACTTTCTTACTCCTCATGTAGTACAACTCTCAGGTATGTTTTACTTCCTCCAAGAGATCTTTAAAGGAATTGAGACCCAGTTGCCCATGGGGATAAACTGACTCCTTTATTGGTTCCCTTCCCTTCCCCTCTCTCCCCCTCCCTTCTCCTTTCCTTTCCTTTCTTTTCCTTCTTCCTAACTCCCCAACTATTTCATCTTGCAGTCATCTCCCAAATAAACTACTTGAACTAAAATCCATATTTCAGTTGTGTTTCTGGGCATCCAACCTATGATAACTCAGATTACCTGCTAAGTAAATTCTCAAACAACTTCTCCATCCACTTTACTCTCTTTCATACTATTGAGTTTTTAGACACTGGAAGGTCTATTTTTTTTTTTTTTTTTTTTTTTTTTTTTTGGGATTGAGGGTTACTTGTTTTGAGGCCTTTGCCAATAGCTTAATAAATAGCTTAAATTGGTACTTCCCTGACACTATTACTGTAATTTGGGATAAGGGGTGGTTATGAAACACAGACCCAGATGACCAATACTCCTCTGGACATGGATAATTATCACATATATCCAGGAACATAATTCGATTTTTTAAAAATATGTAGAATATCTAATCTTTGAATTATATATAAACAGCACTCAAAAGATCACTATTATTATTGATTTTGTGCTAGTAAATTTACATGCATTTCAATTTTTACAACATCTCTATGATGATTTGCCATATTCATCATACAGATGAAGATTCTAATTTATCTACCTGAGAGCCCAAGCTGCGATCTGAACCCTGGTGTGTATGAAAATCCTTTTTTAATTCAACTCTATCGATGTAGCATCCCTGAGTTTGGGAACATTTTATTTTTGAATATTGTGGCTGAGTGCCCTTCCCACAGAGCTATGAACCTTTAGCATGGCATATTAGTCCGTTCTTGCATTGCTATAAAGAAATACCTGAGACTGGGTAATTTATAAAGAAAAGAGATTTAATTGGCTAATGGTTCTTCAGGCTGTACAGGAAGCATGGCGGCTTCTGGGGAAGACTTAGGAAACTTTGACTCATGGTGGAAGGCAAAGTGGGAGCAGGCGTCTTACATGGCTGAAACAGGAGGAAGTGGGGGGAAGGTGTTACACACTTTTAAACAACCAGCTCTTATGTGAGAACTTACTCACTATCATGGGAACAGCACCAATGGGGAAATCTGCCTCCATGATCCAGTCAACTTCCACCAGGCCCCAAGTCCGACACTGGATTGGAGATGACAATTCAACATGAGATTTAAGTGGGGACAGAAATCCAAATCATATCACACCATATAACATGGGTAATAATATTTTGGTTGAGAAGACATATACATATGCACACTCACACATACTCATATACACATATAGGTACAGTATATTGTGTGTGCATAAGTATATGTACATATACACACAGTATATTGCATATGCATAAATATATGTATACAAGTATACATTTAAAATATACCACACTATTATTTACAACAATTTCATCCAATTTGTCTTTATCAATCCTTTGCTTATTCATAGGTTCATAGACTGGGCAACCCTGAGTAGTGGAGAGATCACCAGCCATGTTTCAGGTTGTACGTAAGTTACCCGATTTCTCCCATTAGGCCTGTTTCCTGTCTTTAAATCAGGTTTAATAATACTTAGCTCATAAAATTGGTGTTTCCACTAAATAATGATGTATCTACCACACCTACTAATGTATCTACCATGTCTAACAGTGTTTTGCACACTCACACATGGGAACTATAAAGGAAGGAAAAACTACTTGATGCTGTATGGTATGGGATTGGAAACACCTCCCCGTGCTGGAAATTTGGCACTGATTCAAAGCTTGTGATGACTATGCCTGTGCAGTTTAAACTCGATGGCAGGTATTGATCATCACCATGTCATCAGCACCAGGATTGTGCCTGACATGTATTAGGTGCTGAATACATTTCTGCTGAATGACTAGAACAAATTGCTGTGGAAACTGAGTGGAGTATTAAAAAGGCCTGCTAGGAAAGGACTCACTGCCTGGACCTCATCCTACAATCTGATCTCACAGCCACAGAAAATGGAAATGCTGCCATAGGATAGGGAAGAGTAGTGTTTGCTTCCACTTTGAATCTTCACAGAGGCCAGCCCAACCATAAGTAATTGTTGAGGACCAGACCCTGGAATCCAAATATGCTTTGAGGACTTTTCTGCCTATCCCTGGGAAAACGTTTTTTTGAGTAGTCAGTCGAAAACAGGAACAAGGACCATCCCAGCCATTTGGAGATGAGCAGAGACTCTTGCAGTCCCTCTGTATTGACAAAAGAAGGAGAGGGCAGGGTGCAGTTTCTGAGGCTCAGTTTTTCCTGCCATCTCCTTGGCTTCCTGGAAAGGGACAGCCAAAAGGAAATGGGTATTAAATGTTCTCTGAAGCTTCCCTCTGCCTACACATGGTCTTTGGAGTTGCACGTGGGCTACTCTATCTTACACCGCCTTCCCCAATCTGCAAAGATGTGAGATGAAGGGCACAATTGACACACAGTGTAAACAGTACTAATGCAGCCCTAATTCCATGGGAAGATAGCCATAGTTAGATTTGATTAAAAAAAAAAAAGCATTCCTGGTAGAATGTACATCACATGCAAAGACACGAAGGCACAATAGAACATCGCACAACAGGAAAGTCCCTGGAGAAGACAGCAGGTACTAGATCATGCAGGGCTATTCCCATTGCCAAGCAGTATGAATATGGACTTTATCCAAAGGATAAAGACATTTGAACGTTTAAGATAGGGAATGATATGATGGGATCTGAATGTGTACTAGACAATAGGTACTTGCAAATTTTAACAGATTTATTGGCCACAAAGTTTATTATAAGATGATCACTCATCTGATAATAAGCATGCTGTGATCCAGTATGATTTGTATAGCATGAAATCAAGAAAATATTTTTACCTGTTCAGTTCTGTTTATAATTCTTTTTCTTTTTCCATTAAAAATGCTGCTCCAAACATCATACGTTCTCACTGATATATGGGAGCTAAGCTACAAGGATGCGAAGGCATAAGAATGATACAATGGACTTTGGGGACTTGTGGGATAAAAGACTACAAATAGGGTGCACTGTATACTGCTTGGATGATGGGTGCACCAAGATCTCACAAATCACCACCAAAGAACTTATTCGTGTAAGCAAATACCACCTGTACCCCAATAACCTATGGAAAAATAAAAACAAAATCAACAAAAACAACAAATGCTGCTCCTTACCTCGCTGTACCCATTTGTCTCTGCAGCTATAGCAAAGCTTTCTATGAAGGCACTGTGGTCAGGCATTAACATCCAATTTCCATTAAAGTCTTTCAGCGTTCAACCTTCTAACTTTTGATAAATTAAGTTTAGCCTAAAGCTGCCTCCTTACGTATCTTCAGTTCAGTATAAAAGTTTCTCTTTAGTAGTGAACTGTAACCTAACGAAATGTGTAAAGACTATAACCTATTCTTGTATCAAGCAAAGTTGTAGCCAATCTGTGAAAAATACCCTTACCCATCCAAACCCAAAGAATAGACTCAGGGACCCGGAGAACAGCAGAAGCAAGACTTTTAATGGCAGTCTTGCAAGATCGGCGTCTGGCACGCAGGCACACCTGGGATGGTTACAACAAGCAATTTATTTCCCTCCCCAGTTCCTCACTGGCTGAATACTGTGAGGTTACAATCTTCCCGAACGTCACCTATTGGTAGTTGGGTTAAGGCTTCCAGTGTGTTCTTTAGGGTTTTCCTGCTGCATTTTATTGCAGCCCACAATGCGCTGCGACTATTTCAGGACTTTAAACTTTGACTTACAGCCCTAGTGGCTGTGCTTAGCTGATAAGAAAGGGTATAATTCATTGTAGATTCTGGATATTAGCCCTTTGTCAGATGAGTAGGTTGCGAAAATTTTCTCCCATGTTGTAGGTTGCCTGTCCACTCTGATGGTAGTTTCTTTTGCTGTGCAGAAGCTCTTTAGTTTAATTAGATCCCATTTGTCAATTTTGGCTTTTGTTGCCATTGCTTTTGGTGTTTTGGACATGAAGTCCTTGCCCACGCCTATGTCCTGAATGGTAATGCCTAGGTTTTCTTCTAGGGTTTTTATGGTTTTAGGTCTAACGTTTAAATCTTTAATCCATCTTGAATCGATTTTTGTATAAGGTGTAAGGAAGGGATCCAGTTTCAGCTTTCTACATATGGCTAGCCAGTTTTCCCAGCACCATTTATTAAATAGGGAATCCTTTCCCCATTGCTTGTTTTTCTCAGCTTTGTCAAAGATCAGATAGTTGTAGATATGCGGCATTATTTCTGAGGGCTCTGTTCTGTTCCATTGATCTATATCTCTGTTTTGGTACCAGTACCATGCTGTTTTGGTTACTGTAGCCTTGTAGTATAGTTTGAAGTCAGGTAGTGTGATGCCTCCAGCTTTGTTCTTTTGGCTTAGGATTGACTTGGCGATGCGGGCTCTTTTTTGGTTCCATATGAACTTTAAAGTAGTTTTTTCCAATTCTGTGAAGAAAGTCATTGGTAGCTTGATGGGGATGGCATTGAATCTGTAAATTACCTTGGGCAGTATGGCCATTTTCACGATATTGATTCTTCCTACCCATGAGCATGGAATGTTCTTCCATTTGTTTGTGTCCTCTTTTATTTCCTTGAGCAGTGGTTTGTAGTTCTCCTTGAAGAGGTCCTTCACATCCCTTGTAAGTTGGATTCCTAGGTATTTTATTCTCTTTGAAGCAATTGTGAATGGGAGTTCACTCATGATTTGGCTCTCTGTTTGTCTGTTGTTGGTGTATAAGAATGCTTGTGATTTTTGTACATTGATTTTGTATCCTGAGACTTTGCTGAACTTGCTTATCAGCTTAAGGAGATTTTGGGCTGAGACGATGGGGTTTTCTAGATAAACAATCATGTCGTCTGCAAACAGGGCCATCAGAGAAATGCAAATCAAAACCACTATGAGATATCATCTCACACCAGTTAGAATGGCAATCATTAAAAAGTCAGGAAACAACAGGTGCTGGAGAGGATGTGGAGAAATAGGAACACTTTTACACTGTTGGTGGGACTGTAAACTAGTTCAACCATTGTGGAGGTCAGTGTGGCGATTCCTCAGGGATCTGGCACATATACACCATGGAATACTATGCAGCCATAAAAAATGATGAGTTCATGTCCTTTGTAGGGACATGGATGAAATTGGAAACCATCATTCTCAGTAAACTATCGCAAGAACAAAAAACCAAACACCGCATATTCTCACTCATAGGTGGGAATTGAACAATGAGATCACATGGACACAGGAAGGGGAATATCACACTCTGGGGACTGTGGTGGGGTGGGGGGAGGGGGGAGGGATAGCATTGGGAGATATACCTAATGCTAGATGACACGTTAGTGGGTGCAGCGCACCAGCATGGCACATGTATACATATGTAACTAACCTGCACAATGTGCACATGTACCCTAAAACTTAAAGTATAATTAAAAAAAAAAAAAAGAAAGGGTATAATTACCTAGGTTGTAAACTAGCCTAAACCAAATTCTTTGGTGAGGTGGGAGAGGGAAGTTAAGTGGGGGCCTGACTGACAGGTGCCTAGCTGTTGGGTGAAAGGGGAAAGCAAGAAGAGGGGATGGCTTCGTACATTCTGCTTCTTGGTTTCTTTGTAGCCTGCTTAAACCTATTTCAAGGCCTTTAGAATTGAAAATGGACCACCACATGTATGCTATTTTTTACAAATATCAGGCATTCAACTGTTCTTACCATGTTCAAAGAAGACAAATGCTCATCTGTAACCAATCTAGCTGTTTCTGCACCTCACTTCCATTTTTTTCTATGTCACTTTCCTTTTCCTCTACATAAATATTAGATCATATAGCAGCCCTGGAGTTGCTCTGAACCTGTTCTGGTTTTGAGGGCTGCACAATTCAGAAATCATTCTTTCCTCAGTTGAACTCTACTAAATTTGTCTTAAGTTTATCTTCTAACAGATGGTGTTAGAAGTGGGATTAAAATTCGAGCTTTCAGTGATCCCCAGGAGCATGAATTGACCCAGTGAGGTACCCGTCAGACCCGTTGTGTCCATTGCTCCCTCACAGCAAGTGGGGAAATGGGGCTCATGGGTATATTCTTGCTCCAATTCTAAAGCTCTGTGGATTTGTGTTTTGAGTTATATGAGTTTGAGCACATTTTTTATCTGAATTGGGCTCAGAAGTTGTGACGGAAACTGGACTGGGTGAAGGATCAGACTGGGTCTGATAATCAACTGGATTGGATCTAGTTAGAAGCCTTGAATATCTGAGTGGATCAGACAGAACCTGGCAGGAAATGGCAGTACTGAATTGGCTAGATTGTCTGGGGTATATACCCTGGGGTTCGTTTTCACGCACCAGGAAAATATAGAACAGAGACACACACGAGGAGTTTAAGAGCAGAGGTTTAATAGGTAGAAGAAAAGAGAAAGAGAAATAGCTTCCTCCATAGAGGAAGGGTTCTCTGAGCAGAAAAGAGCAAGCAGAAAGGATTGAGCAGAAAAAAAGACCAGAAATATTCCAAGCAAAAGTCAAAAAGTTTGCTTTAACTTTCGGAGTGAGTGCAGTCCATTTACTTCTTGTTTTGCTTGACATTCATGAACATTTCAGTTCTTCATAAGTCCCATACGTTCTTTCTCTATTCCAATGTTACAATCTTCAAAGCTATTAAAAACCTGATTTGAGAACACCTGTTAAAGTCTTATAGCTTGACTATAGCCCATCTTTTCAGAAGGAACAAAGCGAGACAACAATTGTCTGCAAATGACAACATTTTCATGGTAGTTACAGTTAAAAACATGACTGACAAAGAAGTTTAGTTATCTCCACGGCTTGTGATAACTTTACCCTTAATTATGATTGATAGCATATATTCAGACATTAGAATTTTAGAAATCTCATACAACTTTGGAACATATATTAGTATTATTCACCAGAATATGACTTAAAGAAGACTTGACATCATTTTGGAAATCTCATGTGACTAAACATGTCAAATAATCCTGTTTACTTCTTCTATGGATGTTTCAGGGGCCCTCTGAGCCATCTAGAAAGCCAGGCAGCAGGAAAGACAATTTTGAAACTTGAGGTTTGATTTTGGGATGTCTGTTAAATGCTAGAGGTTTAAAACACTGGATGTTATGAAGTAGAATTCCAGAATGCTAGAAATTATTTATTTTGCCAAAATGATGACTCAAAAGGCAAAAACCTTTCAGTAGCATTACTATTACATGAAAATCCTGTTTAAAGCCATATTTCACCCTTGCATTAGTTTATTAATGTTAACCCAATTTTATTTATTTTTTATTTTTTTGAGACAGAGTCTTGCTCTGTCACCCAGGCTGGAGAGCAGAGGCACAATCTCAGCTCACTGCAACTTCTGCCTCCTGGCAGAATCAAGTGATTCTCCTGCCTCAGCCTCCCAAGTAGCTGGGAGTACAGGTGTGCACCACCACACCCAGCTAATTTTGTATTTGTAGTAGAGATGGGGTTTCACCATGTTGGCCAGGCTGGCCTTGAACTCCTGACCTCAAGTGATCTGTCTGCATTGGCCTCCCAAAGTGCTGGGATCACAGGCATGAGCCACTATGCCCAGCCCCAATTTGTTTAAATGAAACCTTATAGATGATTCCATCTAACCTTAACCAATTTGACCATGAGGTGAAATCTTTACAAACCTTTTACAACCCTTTTGCTAAAGGCCAGATAAGCATCTTAAGACCACCTTGCTGTGCTTTTATTTTGATGCTCAGTTTATGAAAAGACCATATATTCAAAAGATCCTTTTGAATTAATGTTTACACACTTTTGCAAGATTAATTTTTACAATCTTTCTATAACTTGCTTAAACCTCTAGCTCTGTCTTATCAAATTTAATATAATCCTTCATCCCTGGGCAAAATTAACATTTCCATTCTTTCCTATAATCTTTTACTAAAGACACATTTTACTGTTTTTATATGCCTTTCATATAAAACTATTTAGTGATCATGTTGCTCTGTTACTCTTAGCAACCGTTACTTTTGGTGAAAAACCTGGTTAGTAAGCGATTTTAATTATGTGCCATGTGTGGCGCTTAGGACCCAGACAGAAGTGCAGATAAGGCTTGTCTCTTTCCAGATTCTAACTCCCTGTGCCTTACCTAACTGTAAAGCAGGCAGTATACAACCTCGAACCATTTAGCAAACCTAGTATCTAAATTGAATGATTTAGACCACCTATTGCATTTTGATGACACTTGCATTTTACCGATAATCCTTAAGACTATTTTTACTTCTTACAGATTAAACTATTTGCTTTTAATTCCTGTGGTTTCACGAGGAAAACAGGGTTTTTTTTTTTTTTTTTTTTCCCAAAACAGGGTCTGTGGTGCCTCGTAGTTCCATGCTACCAGAAGTTATCTTAGGGCGTCTTATGTGTGCATTAAGAGTGGCAAGCCAAAAAATGGAGAAAAATAATTCAGTTGACTGAGAAGAAAAAAAACTTTTTCCAGAAAGACAAGATCCAAGAAGAGAAAAACATAAAGGCCTTTTAAATATACCTATAACTTGAATATCCACTTTTAATTAAGCTGAGAGCTTTTTAAGAAAATCCTTTTAAATCTCTTGTTACTAGACTTTAGCCATGCGAAGCAATTAAGATTTTCAGCTTTTGAACGTTACAAAAAGTAATCTCACAGGTGAAACCAACAAGCCTTAATTAGGTTATGACTTAACCTCAAGTGTATATGGTGTTTTCAAAGGGGTGATAGGCAGCTTTTAAAACTATCATTGCAAAATTATTACTGAGACAGTGGAAGAGATCTGACCCAACCAACTCCATTTTGTTTCCAGCTCCCAAGCTATCCTTGCCTATCCCTGGGCATAGGCCAAACCAACTTTTGGAGGAGCTGGGTTTATAGTTTATAGTCTAAAACAAAGATGGTAACAGCCCCTTCTTAAGATAGGCTTACCTCTTGCCTGGGGAGCAGACCAAGAAACTAGCCATAAGATTAGAAACCATGGCCTAGGAGTCATGGAGCTGAGGCTACAAGATTCTGACCCTCCCTTAACTGCTCTCAAGATTAGTCCTTAATATATTTTGTAAACCCTGCTCTTGATGGATCAGCTGGCACCACCTAGATTGACAAACTGGCTTATCTGATTGTGTGGTCCTCACCCAGGAACTGACTTAGCACAAGAAGACAGCCACCATTGTAAAATGGTGGAGACTAAAACAAAGTATTGCCATGTGGTTCCAGGTCATGTTCCCAAGGACCTGAAACAAGATGGAGGCCTGTAGTCAAGTTTGTTACTGATTATGTTGTTGGGCTGGCTTGAACAGCAGGCTTATGGGGTCCTGGGCCTGCATTCTATTTTCGCTTTTCCTTTTAGGCCTGCTATAGAAGACATATTGCTTATCTCCAAATTTCTCTGCTGCCTACAGAATTGCCTGCTTCTCAGCTGTGGTTAGGGTTTGGCTTAGAAGCAGCATAACATCCCTCCATGAGAAGTCAAATACCTAAGTTAAATTTTGGAAAGCTTCTATATACCTATCAGGGTCGTTAGAAAATTGACCTAAGTCTCCCTTTATTTGTCTAAGATCTTGTAATGAGAAGGGAACTTGAAGGGGCCCCAAATAAAGGGGAGCCTCAGATAGTTCCCCTGGGAGTTGCTTCTCTAATTTTAGAGAATTATTTTCTTTTGGACCTGCCTGATATGATTGCTAAAAGAGCTGGGTTTATTTTGCAATGCTTGCAGAGGTCTAGTAAAAAGGTCATGCCCTTGTGCAAAAGAAAATGAGCCACATTTTTGTTAAAGTTTCTGGGTCACAGAAGTCCTTGTGCTTCAGAATGCACTCCAGAGGAACTAAGCAATTAGGGCTAGTCATGCTCACCCAGGTGGCTCTAGTCCTGGGTGACTTTTGACTTCCTAGACTTGTGTGAGCCGCCTGGCTCCCTGAAAAACGGATCTCAAGAAAAACTATGTAATAGTTGGGCAAGGCCCCTTTAATGGGCGGGGGGGGGGCATGCTAGATTAAACTCTGTATCTTGCTATTATGGCCGGTGCTGAAGCATTTACCTTTATAGAATGGTTTTGGCTAACTTCCAAACTTAAAATCCCCTTACTAGTTAGGTACCACTCTAATTGGAGGCAGAATAGGTGCCTTAAGAGAACATAGGGACTGAATGGCCATTTATCTGCTGATGGGACAGTATTGAGGCTAAAATTTGGCTACAGAGGACATTTTGCTCCTAATTGTTGAAGGCAGAGCTTTCCCATTCACAGTTGAAGCCTTTCTAGCAGTGCGAAAAGCCAGGATTGGGACACCGCAGTTTATGGCATAGGACTCACAATGTGCCTCATGAAGAGGATTTCTGTTTCCACTAGGTGGCGCTGTTGGCCTAGTAATACCTTGTACTCACCAGAGAAACGGTAAAGACGTTTATTGAGTTACTGCATGTTTGCCGATCTTTCCTAACAGAACTGTTCCCCTGAATTGTAAAAATTCCTGCACATTGCATATACGGAGAGCATAGTAGACATAATGACCATGGATAGAAAAGAAAGGAAAGTTTTGTGACAGGATAGCTGGAGATCCTTTACCAACACCTGGACGGACTGTCAGAGGCTGGGTTCAGTCCAGAAGCCTTTGAATAATGCCAGGGGTTCGTTGTCGCATGCCAAGAAAATTTAGGACACAGACACAGGTGGAATTTAGGAGCAGAGGTTTAATAGGTAGAAGAGAAGAGAAAGAGGAACAGCTTCCTCCATAGAGGAAGGGTTCTCCAAGCAGAAAAGACCATGCGGAAAGGATGGAGAAGAAAAAAACACCAGCTGGCAGGGAATGCACCGATTGTTTTAGTCTGGCATGAGGAGGTGGTGTCTGATTTATGTAGGGCTCACAGATTGGTTCAATTAGGTATGACATTTACATGGCACATGGGGAAGGCTGGTCACCTTACCCTAATCTTATGCAAATGGGCTTTTCAGTTATCAGCCCCATCTGGTCTGCTCCTTAGGATACACGCGGCTGGCAGAGAAGGGAAGATGGAGCCACCATTATGAAAATGTCTAGTCCTCAGTTTCTGCGGCATTCACCCATGCAAGCTCCCAGCTTGCAGGCTGCTCTTTGTTAGAAAATGATTTGGGGGTTCCCTTGCTATCTGCCTAAGTAATTCCTTCTTAACTCCTGTATCAGTACCTCAGGGGGTGTAAACTGTGGCTTTCGAAAATTTGCAGGGATTTGTATCTTCTATTTCTTTTGTGCTTTTAGGTAGGGAAAAAATCATTGGCTAAGTTGATCAAGGGGATCTGAGAATTAAGCCAAGAATAAATGTAAAAATGGGATGCTTAATTACTGAAGAACTGAGTACTCCATCTTCTAGCGACACTTACCTATAGTATTAAGTATTAGGCCCGGGAAGCAGCACACATTGACAAAAGTCGTAAAATCTTACTAAAAATAATGAAAAATTATAATAGAAAGCTCCAAATGAACAACACTCCATTTTGAAAAGTGCATTTGAAAATTAGAGCTGTCTAATTAGGCTCATCCAGGGATGCCTATTGATGTGCAGATGCTTCTAAAAAGATTTCATTGTTTTTATTGTTTTTAAGAAAAGTCTTTATAAAAGACAAAAAGCTTAAGCAACTAATTGATAAGAAAAATTAAGTCTTCTAACCTTTTAGTCTGGTTACTACCCTGCCCTGAAGGTGAAGAGAAAGCTGGATAAAGTGTTTGTAAAAGGTAGACCCTCAGGTAAAGTAGGCTTCCTGTTTTTTTTTCAGAGCTATGCATGAGTCTACACATAGCAAATGCTTTCTTTGCACTATTCCTTAATGGGCTTCACCCTAAATGCAGTAATTTTAGGTAAAAAACAGAAGCTAAGTTAAAATGACCACCTATGGAACAAAATCAGTCTTCAAAATATACCTTTTGGCATTTAGGTGGATATTTTGAAATGCTTTTGAAAAGAAATTTACATCTATAAAGGAACTGTCCATTTGTGAGGGTGTTTGCCTCTGTACACCAAAGAGAGGAAGGACTGAGCCACTAGAAATTCTTACCATTGTATTTCATTTACATAACAAGTCTTACTTTTGTTTAAGGTGCTTTTCCTGGCCATCTTGTCTTAAATGGGCTTTTACCTACATGCTTTTTCTTTGGCTTGAGGAAATGATGGTAGGATATTTAGGTCTGAAGTCTCAGCTCTGTACTTTTAAGATACAAATTTTCCACCTTGTTTCACCTAGGAGTCATCGTTTTAGAAGTGCAAATTTAGGACTGCCTAGCTAACAGTTGCGTAGGGCAATGAAACAAGCCATTGGAAGACTGATAGTCTGAATGGGGAAAATAAAAACTGTTTGGAAGTTGACAAATGAAACATCTTAATGAAAGCTATAAGATGTGCCTCTGTCTGTTTATATGATATTTCTATGTGATTTAAGATAACATACAGCAAATAAAGCTAGTTTTAAAATTATTGTTAAAATTCCTATTTAGGAATGTCTTCAGAATTGTCAGTATTAAAAATAATTGAGACAATTTTGCTTGGGTTTACTAGTCAGATATGCTTATGCTGATCCTCTCCCTTCTCACACCCCAAACCCTCCAACAGGCCTCAGTGTGTGTTGTTTCCCCCATATATCCATGTGTTCTCATCGTTTAGCTACCTTATAAGAGAGAACATGTGGTATTTGGTTTTCTGTTCCTGCATTAGTTTGCTAAGGATAATGGCCCCCAGTTCCATCCATGTCCCTGCAAAGGATATGATCTCGTTCCTTTTTATGGCTGCATCCTATTCCGTAGTGTCTATGTACCACATTTACTTTATCCAGCCCACTGTTGATGGACATTTAGTTTGATTCCTTGTCTTTGTTATTGTGAATAGTGCTGCAATGAACATATATGTGCATGTGTCTTTATAATAGAATGATTTATATTCCTTTGGGTATATACCCAGTAATGAGATTGCTGGGTCAAAAGGAATTTCTGCCTCTAGGTCTTTGAGGAATTGCCACACCATCTTCCAAAATAGTTGAACTAATTTACATTCCCACCAACAGCATAAAAGTGTTCCTTTTCTCCACAACCTCGCCAGCATCTGTTATTTTTTGATATTTTATTAATAGCCATTCTGACTGGTGTGAGATAGTATCTCATTGTGGTTTTGATTTGCATTTCTGTAATGATCAGTGATGTTGAGCTTTTTTTCATGTTTGTTGGCTACATGTATGTTTTCTTTTGAGAAATGTCTGTTCATGTCCTTTGCCCACTTTTTAATGGGGTTGTTTTTTCTTGTAAATTTGTTTAAGTTTCTTATGGATGCTCAATATTAGACCTTTGTCAGATGGATAGCTTGCAAAAGTTTTCTCCCATTCTGTAAGTTGTTTGTTTACTCTGTCGATTATTTGTTTTGCTGTGCAGAAGCTCTTTAGTTTAATTAGATCCCATTTGTTAATTTTTGCTTTTGTTGCAATTGCTTTTGGTATTTGTATGAAATAGTTGCCTGTTCCTATGTCACGAATGGTATTACCTTGGTTTTCTTCTGGGGTTTTTATAGTTTTGGGTTTCACATTTAAGTCTTTAATTCATCTTGAGTTGACTTTTGTATATGGTAATAACAAAGGGGTCCAGTTTCAATTTTCTGCATATGGCTAGCTAGTTGTCCCAGCACCATTTATTAAATAGGGAATCATTTCCCCATTGCTTGTTTTTGTCAGGTTTGTCAAAGATCTGATGGTTGTAGCTTTACAGTCTTATTTCTGGAATTTCTATTCTGTTCCATTGTCCTTTACAGACAATTAAATGCTGAGGGATTTTGTCACCACCTGGCCTGAAGGAAGGCTTCTGAAGGAAGCACTAAATACGGAAAGGAAAAACCAGTATCAGCCATTGCAAAAATATACCAAAATGTAAAGACCAATGACACTATGAAGAAACTGCATCAACTAATGTGCAAAATGAGCAGCTAGCATCATGACGACAGGACCGAATTCACACATAACAATATTAACCTTAAATGTAAGGGGCTAAATGCCCCAATTAAAAGACAGAGACTGGCAAATTGGATAAACCCATCAGTGTGCTGTATTCAGGAGACCCATCTCATGTGCAAAGACACACATAGGTTCAAAATAAAGGGATGGAGGAATATTTACCAAGCAAAGGGAAAGCAAAAAAAAAAAAGAAAAAAAAAAAGCAGGGGTTGCAATCTTAGTCTCTGATAAAACAGACTTTAAACCAACAAAGATCAAAAGAGACAAAGAAGGCCATTACATAATGGTAAAGTGATCAATGCAACAAGAAGAGCTAACTATCCTAAACATATATATGCACCCAATACAGGAGCACCCAGATTCATAAAGCAAGTTCTTAGAGACCTACAAAGAGACTTAGACTCCCACACAATAATAGTGGGAGACTTTAACACCCCACTGTCAATATTAGACAAATCAATGAGACAGAAAATTAACAAGGATATTCAGGACTTTAACTCAGCTCTGGACCAAGCGGACCTAATAGACATCTACAGAACTCTCCACCCCAAATCAACAGAATATACATTCTTCTTAGCACCACATAGCATTTATTCTAAAATCGACCACATAAGTGGAAGTAAAACACTCCTCAGCAAATGCAAAAGAATGGCTGGCTCAACATACACAAATCAATAAGTGTAATCCAGCACACAAACAGAACCAGTGACAAAAACAACATGATTATCTCAATAGATGCAGAAAAGGCCTTCTGTAAAATTCAACACCCCTTCATGCTAAAAACTCTCAATAAACTAGGTATTGATGGGTGGGACATATCTCAAAATAATAAGAGCTATTTATGACAAACCCATAGCCAATATCATATGGAATGGGCAAAAGTTAGAAGCATTCCCTTTGAAAACTGGCACAAGACAAGGATACCCTCTCTCACCACTCATATTCAACATAGTATTGGAAGTTCTGGCTGGGGCAATCAGGCAAGAAAAAGAAATAAAAGGTATTCAAATAGGAAGAGAAGAAGTCGAATTGTCTCTGTTTGCAGATGACATGATTGTATATTTAGAAAACCCCTTTGCCCATGCCTCCAGCTACAAAACAATTCCATTGCTGTTTTTGTTTTTGTTTTTGTTTTTTTGGTCCAAAATAAAACCTCAGCTAGCTCTGCCAAAAAAAAAAGAAAAAGAAAAAAAGAAAAAAGAAAAAAAAAAAAAACCCATTGTCTCAGCCCCAAAACTCCTTAAGCTGATAAGCAACTTCAGCAAAGTCTCAGAATACAAAATCAATGTGCAAAAATCACTAGCATTCCTATACACCAATAATAGACAAACAGAGAGCCAAATCATGAGTGAACTCCCATTCACAATTGCTACAAGGAGAATAAAATACCTAGGAATACAACTTACAAGGAACCTGAAGGACCTCTTCAAGGAGAGCTACAAACCACTGCTCAAGGAAATGAGAGAGGACACAAACAAATGGAAAAAAATTCTATGCTCATGGATAGGAAGAATCAATATTGTGAAAATGGCCACACTGCCCGAAGTAATTTATAGATTCAATGCTATTCCCATCAAGCTAACTTTGACTTTCTTCACAGAACTAGAAAAACTACTTTAAATTTCATATGGAGCCAAAAAAGAACCTGTATAGCCAAGGCAATCCTAAGCAAAAAGAATAAAGCTGGAGGCTTCATGCTACCTGACTTCAAACTATACTACAAGGCTATAGTAACCAAAAGAGCATGGTACTGGTACCAAAACAGGTATATAGACCAAAGGAACAGAACGGAGGCCATAGAAATAACACTACACATCTACAACCATCTGATCTTTGACAAACCTGACAAAAACAAGCAATGGGGAAATGATTCCCTATTTAATAAATGGTACTGGGAAAACTGGCTAGCCATATGCAGAAAACTGAAACTGGACCCCTTCTTTACACCTTATACAAAAATTAACTCAAGATGGATTAAAGACTTAAATGTAAAACCCCAAACCATAAAAACCCTAGAAGAAAACCTAGGCAATACCATTCCAGACATAGGCATGGGCGAAGACTTCATGACTAAAACACAAAAGGCAATGGCAACAAAAGCCAAAATTGACAAATGGGATCTAATTAAACTAAAGAGCTTCTGCACAGCAAAAGAAACTATCATTACAGTGAACAGGCAACCTACAGAATAAGAGAAAATTTTTACAATCTATCCATTTGACAAAGTCTAATATCCAGAATCTACAAGGAACTTAAACAAATTTACAAGAAAAAACAACCCCATCAAAAAGTGGACAAAAGATATGAATGGACACTTTTCAAAAGAAGGCATTTATGTGGCCAATAAACATATGAAAAAAAGCTCATCATCTCTGGTCATTAGAGAAATGCAAATCAAGACCACAATGAGATACCATCTCACACCAGTTAGAATGGTGATCATTAAAAAGTCAGGAAACAACAGATGCTGGAGAGCATGTGGAACACTTTTACACTGTTGATGGGAGTGTAAATTAGTTTAACCATTGTAGAAGACAGTGTGGCCATTCCTTAAGGATCTAGAACCAGAAATACCATTTGACCCAGCAATCTCATTACTGGGTATATACCCAAAGGATTATAAATCATTCTACTATAAAGACACATGCACATGTATGTTTATTGCAGTGCTGTTCACAATAGCAAACACTTGGAACCAACCCAAGTGCCCATCAATGATAGACTGGATAAAGAAAATATGGCACATGTACACCATGGAATACTATGCAGCCATAAAAAAGAATGAGTTCATGTCCTTTGCAGGGACATGGATGAAGCTGGAATCCATCATTCTCAGCAAACTAACATAGGAACAGAAAACCAAACACTGCATATTCTCACTCATAAGTGGCAGTTGATCAATGGGAACACATGGACACAGGGAGGGGAACATCATTCACCCGGGCATGTCAGTGGGCGAGGGGCAAGGGGAGGGAAAACATTAGGACAAATACCTAATGCATGTGGGACTTAAAATCTGGATAATGGTTGATAGATGCAGCAAGCCACCATGGCACATGTATACCTATGTAACAAACCTGCATGTTCTGCACATGTATCCCAAAACTTAAAATTTAATAAAAAAAAACTACTAAACTATTTTCCGGAGTAGTTGTGCCATTTTACATTCTCGCCTGCAATGCATTAGAGGTTGTTTCTCTGCATCTTCACTAGCATTTGGAGATATGCCATGCTCACTTATTTATAAAATAAAAGATCTATTTCTAGATAATTCCTAATGAAATTTATAAACTGCAAGTGAAAAAAAAAACTATCTGGCATGCATCTAGACAGATATACCTACAGAGGAAAGCTAAATCATACTGGCTGGCATGTAAGCTCCACAAAAGCAGGAGAGTTTGTCTGTTCTGTTCATTAAAGTGTTTCCATCACTTAGAAGAGTACCTGTCATATATTAGGCACTCAATAAATATTCATGGATGAATTAACTGCATTAAGAAGTCAATCTTTACTTGAGGTCATAAAAATATTCTTTTATATTACTTCAGGAAGGCTAATTGCTTTGCCTTTTGTACTTATATATGAAAACCACAAAGATTTAATTCTTATAAGTAGTGTGAATTTAGGGTTCAAATTTTATTTTCTTCTATATGGATATTCAGTTATTGTAGTATCATTTAATAAAAAAATTCTCCTTTTCTGATTGCCTCACAGAATTACCTTTGTCATTTAACAACTGGCTGTGTATGAGTGGGCATACTTCTGAAATTTTATTTCCATTCATTGGCTCAACTGTCTATCCCTGAACAAATACCACATATGCATAATTACTATAGTTTTTAAATTTTTGATATTTAGTATATAAAATCTCACTTTGTCCTATTCTTCTAGAGTTTTGTGGCTAATTTTGGCAATTTACATTTTTATGTATATTTTAATCAAGCTTACCAAATTTTACACAATCACCAATTAGGATATTATTGGGAATGTATTGATTCTATGGAAAAATTTGGGGGCTAAGTAGATTCTTCACATTATCGAGTTTTCCAGTTAAAAAGAATAGTGTTTTCTTCCATTTATTTAGGTCTTCTTCAGTGTCTTTTAAGGATGCTTTGTGGTTTTCTGTGCAGAAATTCCTCTACATTCTTTGTTAGATTCACTCTTAGACATCTGATTTTTCTGTTATTGTAAATGCTTAAAAATTTTATAAAGAAATACAGTGGAATTTTGTAAGTTGACCTTGTATTCAGCAATCTTTACATACTCATTTCTAATAACTTATCAATACAGTCTTTTGGATTTTCTACATATACAATCACTAATCTACAAATAATGACTAATTTCATTTTCTAACTCTCATATCATGTTTCTTTTTCTTGCTTTATAACAGGTTATTAACACAAGGAATCATTTTTATCTTTAGGTACCATTACACTCTTTCTTTTCATGGGAGGTTGTAGGGATTTGTGTGTGACACACATATCATTATCTCGTAACAAAAAACAATGGCATTGGTCATCTAAAAATGAAATTTGGATACTAAAGAAACAAGAAAACATCTTACAGGAAAGACCTTCTTATAGAAATAGCACCTAAAACAGAATCTAAATAAATGTTAGTTTTTAGAGGAGGGAAACAAAGAGGTTGACCATTCCAGATAAAACAAGCATTTGAGCAAATGCTTAGAAGAAGGTGTACAGATAGAGAACTTTATTTAAGGAACTAGAAAGATGCCAATGCAGGGCCGTATTGAGGGAGAGTTGAGGTGTCATGAGATGGGGCTGTCGAATTAGGCAAGTTCATATCTTTTAGGACCTCCTAAGCCATGAGTATATGTTTGGCCAAAGCTCTCCGTTATCCATTGGACCTTTAGCATTCCATTTACATTGAGTGATTTTTCCTCCCTTCTTTCCTTCAAAAAATATTGAAATATAAGTAGAGGGAAAACTATTATTTTTAAAGTCATACTTTGGGTCACCTTAATAAGATCTATTCTTAATACTGTAAAAAGAGAAAAAAAAATGAATGCTTGAAAAGTGCCTGTGGAAATTACGCCAACTAGGTACATAATGTTATTAATATTAATAATAATTTAAGCGGCCTGCCCATTAAACATGCCTCAGTTGAAGTCATAGAGTTGTGAGGTATGAGTGCAGATCAACAAGACCAATAATTTCTGCCTTAAGAGTGGATAGAAGAGGACTCTGTTCACGTTTCCTTTTATACATACACATTAGTGTCCACCCTCCCTACAAAGATACGAAGATATGTTCATAAGTATGAAAAATAATATCACAACGTTAAATGCTATCAGTAAAACAAAGAGAAAAAGGGTAAAGAGGTCCCGCCAAGATTAGGGGTCAAGAAAAGTCTTTCTAAGCAAGGGTGTTTAAACAGAAAAGGCTAAGAATTAAAACTGGGAATAGGATGAGTGTTTTTACCAGGGGAAAAATATATGTGAAGGCTGAAGGGTGAGAGAGAGCATGGCACATTGAAGATGTGGAAATATTTCGGGTCCAATAGGACTTATGTATGCAAAAAGGGAGGTAAAATGGTTGGAGATGGAGATGGAGAGTTGCACTGAGATGGCTTATGGAGTTCCTATGAGTTGGGTTCAGGAGTGTGTTCATTCTACAGGCAATGGGGAATTCAACTGTTCATTCTAAAGGCAATGGAGAATTGCCATGAACTGATATGTGTTTGGAAGATCACACTGGCCACAGCATAGACAACAGATTGGTAGGGAAGTTCTTCTGTGAGTCTGACCAGTGAACAAGTTATTCTGATGATCTAGGCAAAAGACTGTCTTGGCTTGGAATGAAGAAAAGGCAAAAAAGATGGAGAAAGATAATCAGACTCACAAAATAGATATCTAGTAGATAAAATGAACAGAACTTGGTGACTGATTGGATGTGGTTGGAGAGGAAGGTGAGAGAGAGATGGGGAGAAGGCAGGGATGATGATTTCTAAATTTTTGACATGGCCAACAGAGTGATTTATATGACAGGGAACATAAAACAGACAGGGAGCGGGGTCCGGATTGAAGAGCAGAGATGATGAGCTTAGTTGATAATGAAATCAATGAGCTTAGAAATGATGAGTTAGGTGTTGAGTTTGAGGTGCCTGAAGGACACCTATGTCCAATAGACTTTACCATATTTGGAGTTTAGGAGATTGGTCTGGCCTGCTTGGGTGATGAAAGCTACTGGACAAAGTAAGATTACTCATAGTTACTATATAGAGGGGGAAGACAGATTATCTTCCTGGGCCATAGCTACCAGTAATGTGAGGAGTAAAGGACAAGGAGTCTCTCTGCCAACTCCATCCTGTTGACATTTAGTCTCTTCTAGTTCCAAAATACACATTTTAAAATCTCTGTGGAGCTATAAATCCTCCCAATATTGTCCATTTCACTCCTCTGTTCACGTACAAATATCTTAAAAGGGTTGTCTACATCGACTCTCTTCATCTCTTCCTAACACACTCCTCACACTGCTTCACTCAAGATTCCATCCCCCACCCTGTTATCCAGGTAGCCAGTGACCTTTGATTTCAGTCTTTTCACTGCTTGATCTCTCGGCAGCTTTCTGAACTGCTGACCAATCTTCCTTGTCAATATATTTTTTCCTGTCTCTTTTGTGGCACTGTCTACTGGATTTCCTACGTCCTTGGCTCTTCCATTTGTTTTGACTAGTAATAATGAACACAAACATTCACTGGAGACTTGCTAGTATCTCATTTCGTTTTTCACATTAAATGCTTTCACACTAAATGCTTATAGTAGTCATACTATTAATAAATGGGCGGACCCAAGTCTGTTTCCTTCTAGAGCCCCATGTTCAAACAAACATGCCACACGGTCTCATTTCTGGAGGGACAGGACATCTATGATTAGCGACCCAAGGAAGAAAGGGTGGGCTTGAGAGGGTGAGAGGGAGAGCTAAGGGGCAGCGCAGAGTAGTGGAAAGAGCTCAGATGCTAGAGTCAGTTGGGTCCTTGGTTCTTAAAGGCATCATCCTCAGAGCCATTGCTCAGGGACGGCCACGAGGCTGAAGATCCCCTGTGCGACCACAAGGTGGCAGCATGAAGAAGCGAGAGTCCCTGACACAGCTTCGATCCCCTTGGGTAGTTAGTGTGTTCGGAGCGCTGGTATCCCTGCGTGCTTTCTGCTGAGTGCCCACCCCTCCATTCCAGCAGGTCCTCTCTTCCAGCCCCGTTATTCCTCTTCTCCTTTCCACCCCGCGACACAGCCTCCCTCTAGTCTCTTGAGCTGGGCTCAGAGGGATAGTGATAGAGCTCAGTCCCTTTGGGTAGGAGTCAGGGCTCAGCTTTCCTTGGGCGTCTGAGCAGAGCGTCAGTGCCAGGGAGACCCGACTCGTTCACTCTCCATCACTCTACACACTCCTGAGGGGCCCCAGAGAAGCTATAATTGGGCGGCCTCCATGCGCTGGGGAAGCACTGGTGGTGAGTGTAGCAGGCTCAGCCCAGGGAGGTTAGGCAACGGGAGGGTCCGCAGAGACAGGCACAGAAGGCTCATTGCATAAGGAAGCCGGGACTTGATCAGTCAGCTTGGCTGCTTGGAGAGGTCTTCTAGTGTACACCTTTTCCAGATCACAGTAGCCCGGTTCCTGGACCTTGTTCCTACACAGAGGAATTTCTTCAAGCCTGTGAGACCCGTTCCAAGCTTTGCCTATCCTTTGTCCCAGGACAGGACTCCTCAGTTCCTGCCTCCTACTCTTCACTTAAGCAAGGCAAGGGGAATTACTTTACCAGGAAAAAAATGTGTGTGAGTGTGTACGTGTGTGTGTATGTGCACGTGTGTGTTGTGGTGGTGCTGGTGGTGATTGGTGATGAAGAAGGAAACTGAAGCTGGGCTGGAAAGTTGAGTTAGAGGAACACTGTGAAGGGCCTTGTCTGCATACTGTGGAGTTACTAGTTCTCACTTTATCTGGAAAGCTATGGGAATCACTCCTAACTTGCTCAGCAGGAGCCCCAGGTGTCCAGTTTTGCTGTTTAGATGGCAGTGGTGTGGAAGGTGGTTTGGAATAGACTAGGTTTGGAGGCAGGGAGGTAAGTTGGAAGGCTCTTTTTATAATCAGGGCAGAGTGGATAATATAATTAAGTTGGGAGGAGGTGTATTAAGAGGAACGGCCCCAATAATTAATTGGAAAAGTTGAATTGCATGTGGGGGTGAAAGAGGAGACGGGTCAAGATGAGACCAGCTGCCCTGACTTGGGTGATGTGGGTTCTGAGCAGTGGCATTCTCTGAGATCAGGAACAGGTTTGGAAGGGGTCCCTGTTAGAGGCAAGATGAGTGGGAGGCCCATAGGCTATCCAGGTAGAACTATCAAGGAGGCGGTAGGTTATATGGCTGAATCTCAGGACACAGGCTTAGAACAGTGTGGTCTGTAGAGAGAAAGAAGTTGAGCCTGGGACGTTGTGTGATCACCAGGGAGAGTAGGTGGAGGGAGAGGTGTGTGTGCCTGTGAACACTGTGGAGTAACAGCAGCAGCACTGGCTGATTTTCTGTTCATGTCTCAGCTGCATCTGATTTCCATGACATGCTCCTCTTGCTGAGCGCAACCTGGGACTGACTCTCACCTGGGGCTTGAGAGATCTTGATGGCAGATGCTGCTTATTGTTCGTTTGGGAGCTGGAAATGGAAATGATAGTCCCTCTTCATTCACCTCCCTGCCCCCAAGAACACCAGAACAACTTTCCCCAAAGTTCTCTGATTTAAAGCACAAATTTCCTAGGGGAAAGGGGCTTATCGTTTTTTGTTTGTTTATTTGTTTTGTTTTGTTTTTGAGTTGGTGTCTCGCTGTGTCACCCAGGCTGGAATGCAGTGGGGGTGATCTCGTCTCACTGCAGCCTCTGCCGCCCAGGTTCAAATGATTCTCCTGCCTCAGCCTCCTGAGTAGCTGGGATTACAGGTGCGCTCCACCAAGCCTGGCTAACTTTTGCATTTTTAATAGAGGCAGGGTTTCACCATGTTGGCCTGGCTGGTCTCGAACCCCTGACCTTGCGATCTGCCCACCTCGGCCTCCCAAAGTGCTGGGATTACAGGCGTGAGCCACTGTACCTGGCGGGGCTTATTGTTTTTTAAAAAGATTTCCAAAACCTTGCCCTGGCAATTCTGATTTTCTGGGCCTGGAGCAGGACCTGGAGGGATGGTGTTGTCAATTACTTTAGATGTTTCTATCAGGAAAGTTTGAGAAATGGTATTCAGGCCTAAACACAAACCTCTCTTGAAATCTCATCCCAGACTGAGCCCCTGCTCCCTATCTTAAATTAGATTATAGTAGGTCTTAAAGTCAGCTGTAGACTGAGCCTCTAAATCTGAACCCAGACCCACCCTAACCCCAGGATACATCAGAAGAGCTGGTCAATGTGGACCATTCTGAGCAATCCTGCAAGTCTACTCTGATGGGAAAAGGCTAAGAGCAGTGCCCTGGGCAGCAACATCAGCTCTGAAGATGCAGGACTGTGTTACATGTTTTATGAGTGGGTCTTCACACACTGAGATTCATGGGACAGTAATAGAATCTGCTTGTGCAGCACTGGGGCCTTGGAGGGTCAGGGTAAGGCTCAAGATGTCCAGGAAGTTGTATATAAGGAGAATCAGAGCAGAGAGAGACTAGGGTTCAGAATTACCAGGATGACTTAGTCCTGTTTGTTACTGTCACCACTCCAATGCCTTTTCCTCATTAGTCCTTTCTCTCCTCTGAGCCACAACTAAATGATGTTTCTACTTTTCCCTTTCTACTTTCCTAGACCCTGGATTTTGTATGCAGAAGCCCCAGCTCTTGGTCCCTATCATAGCCACTTCAAATGGAAATCTGGTCCACGCAGCATACTTCCTTTTGGTGGGTATCCCTGGCCTGGGGCCTACCATACACTTTTGGCTGGCTTTCCCACTGTGTTTTATGTATGCCTTGGCCACCCTGGGTAACCTGACCATTGTCCTCATCATTCGTGTGGAGAGGCGACTGCATGAGCCCATGTACCTCTTCCTGGCCATGCTTTCCACTATTGACCTAGTCCTCTCCTCTATCACCATGCCCAAGATGGCCAGTCTTTTCCTGATGGGCATCCAGGAGATCGAGTTCAACATTTGCCTGGCCCAGATGTTCCTTATCCATGCTCTGTCAGCCGTGGAGTCAGCTGTCCTGCTGGCCATGGCTTTTGACCGCTTTGTGGCCATTTGCCACCCATTGCGCCATGCTTCTGTGCTGACAGGGTGTACTGTGGCCAAGATTGGACTATCTGCCCTGACCAGGGGGTTTGTATTCTTCTTCCCACTGCCCTTCATCCTCAAGTGGTTGTCCTACTGCCAAACACATACTGTCACACACTCCTTCTGTCTGCACCAAGATATTATGAAGCTGTCCTGTACTGACACCAGGGTCAATGTGGTTTATGGACTCTTCATCATCCTCTCAGTCATGGGTGTGGACTCTCTCTTCATTGGCTTCTCATATATCCTCATCCTGTGGGCTGTTTTGGAGCTGTCCTCTCGGAGGGCAGCACTCAAGGCTTTCAACACCTGCATCTCCCACCTCTGTGCTGTTCTGGTCTTCTATGTACCCCTCATTGGGCTCTCGGTGGTGCATAGGCTGGGTGGTCCCACCTCCCTCCTCCATGTGGTTATGGCTAATACCTACTTGCTGCTACCACCTGTAGTCAACCCCCTTGTCTATGGAGCCAAGACCAAAGAGATCTGTTCAAGGGTCCTCTGTATGTTCTCACAAGGTGGCAAGTGAGACACCTTAGTGTCTCGCTTCTACTACTACTACAGAAGATGGGAATATTAGGATCCTATTGAATGCCTTGGTGATTAAAGTATCAAACCTATTGTGCTGTCTTCTTCCAGCAATTTAAGTAGATCATGTATTCTGTCTCCAGGAATGTGTCAGTACTGAACTTATGACCCTGTCTGGACATCCTGGAGAATGACTGCACTAGTCCCTCTGCTATGGTGGTCTTGCCTTCTCCTTCTCTCTCAGCTAGAAAATACATCTAGTTTTGACATGGGGAGGCTGTAAAGATCACACCTCATGGTTCATTCCAGTTTTGAAGTATGATTTTAATGTTCTTGCCCCCATGTGCCCATGTTGGTGAATTTGCATGGACTATAAACGTTATTGCAAATACCCTAAAGTGGTTACCCAGCCATAATCAGGGGTTAATGAAGGTATTTGGGGAATAGTAACTGGAGAGACAGCAACAAGACAAGAGGCAGCTCACATGCAATGTTGAAGTTTCTGTATGCAAGAGGGTGTGTTGGCAGATTTGTGAAATCTGCCCATTTGCATCTGTATGGCTCTATATGACTATTTGTCCATAAGGGTGCCATGTATTCTGGTTGTGGGTGTGAATGTGTGGGTGTGTTTATGTGGACACTTGCTTTTCAGTGTGCGTATATGTGAGAGAGAGGGTGCACACATGGAATACGTACTGGTTGTGTCCTGGTGAGTGTGGTAGCTATGTCCTGGCACATGTATGTTTCATGAGACGTGTCTCTGATTGCGCATTTGTATTTCTGTGGTATCTGTTAGTTGGTATATGATATGTGTCTACGTGAGAATGCTGGTGTCTGTATCTGCATGGTGGGCAGTACCTTTATGTGTATCTGGTAAGAATGCTGCCTCTACCTTTTCTTCCTATTTGTACTATGTGAATGTGGTGCATGAATGTGTGGAATGTGTGGAATGTGTAGTATTGGGATGCCTGTATCTTTCAGCGTGTTTGGGTGTATGTCCACTGTGCATAATATTTGAGATGTAAAACCATTTTGTGCGGTATATGTGTTATTAGTTGTAAGTCGGTGAAATGTACATCTGAATTCTGTGTGCATATTGTTGGTACTGATGCTATTTTCGTGCATATGTCTAGTGTATATGTTTTAAGGCAAACTTTCTTTGTGTGTTGGGTGTGTATGTGACACGAATGGGGACAGCATCTGTATTTCTGAGCATGGATTGATGTGTGGTGTCTGTATGTATCTTGGAATGGAGGAGGGAGATTGAAGAAGTCTGGCTGTGAGCAGCAGAAATAATTTCCAAAGTTGAGTGACATGACTCTAAGATGCCCAGTTTCTCGGCCTGGGGTCAGCCTGGGTGATAGCTCAGTCTGTCAGAATGAAAGGAAACACGGTGCTTCCTTGCTCCACCTTTTCACAGGCCAGACCACACCTTCTTCATCCTGAACACAAGGATTTCAAGGGCTTTTGTTACCTCTTCCTACGTTTCCTGCCTCTGCTATCCGAGGCACTGGCCTCCCTAAACCCTGCCCTCCTGCCTCAATAGCAAGTCATGGTATCCTCACCTCTCCCTTCCCTTTTTGGCTTATCTGCCAAACATGTATAAAAGTCCTTGGTTCCCCATCTCTACTAAAAATACAACAATTAGCCGGGTGTGATGGCGCGTGCCTGTAGTCCCAGCTAGTTGGGAGGCTGAGGCAGGAGAAACGCTTGAGCCCGCAAGGTGGAGGTTGCAGTGAGCCGAGATCATGCCACTGCACTCCAGCCTGGTGACAGAGCAAGACTCTGTGTCAAAAAAAAAAAAAAAAAAAAAGCCTTGGTTGTAGGGAGTTTCTCCTAATCCCTCTGGGAAAGCAAGGGTGGAGGGGAAGCCAGTCAATCTCCCTTCTGTTGCCGCATGGAAACTCCCTTAAGGCAGGAAGCTGAAAAAACTGTAGCATTCACCTCATTATTCACCTTGTCTCATGTCTCACTGTCCTTCCACATGTCTCATTGTTACTCCATATTGGATGGAAGTAGAAGTCCCTTTGGTATTTTTTAAAGTCTTTGCCATGTCTAAGTTAATGAGGTTAATGGAGGCAGCAGAGATGGCTCCAGGGTTCTGATAGCAAGTGTCAGGCTGCGTGCTCTGTAGGCACCAGAAACTGTTGTCACCAGTAATTTTGATGTGGTCTGAGTTAGAATGGTCTGATTTGCCATGATCTATTTAACATAGCTTGATTTAGCGTGTCCTGTGTTCTGAATTTAAAACTCACAGTTGTGAAACTGATCAGTAAAAAATAAGGGGAGACCAACTAAAAACCATGTTGTTCTATTTATAGATGTAGTTTTTACTTATTTCAAAATACGAGGTATTTAGTTTTACATTCAAATTGTTCTCTAACTCTCTAAAATGTTCTCTGACTATTTTTGCCCTTAAGGGAGAAACCAGATGTCATTGGTCTTACGTGGCTGGTGTTGGGGGTGGGGAGGGTTAAAGAAACCACGTTCTCTGTCCTCAGCCAGAAGTTCAGTAATCCAAGGCCAGAGAGTGGACGGCAGAGGCACTGTCCCTGGGGACCTTGGTTATAAGTTATCCAGACACAGGGACCAGAGCCTGGGAGACAAAAAAAGATGTAGCCCTAGGGCTTTGGGAAAAGGAGGATGGACCCAGTGAATTCCACGCTTAGCAAGGACCTAAACAGTGTCCCCCAAATGAGAGAAGGGAGGACAGAAAGAACACTTCAGGATGGAAATGGGCTGACACTTAACCGTGGAGTGTCTCTGCAAACTTCCTTTGCCATTCTCCTGTTTGAGTTTGATAAACCTGAGAAGAGACTTGGATAAAGACCGTCACGAAGACTACACTAATGAGTTTCTTCTAGCTTTTTTCTACTCACTTTCCCTATCTATCCTTCACATTGGGAGTTGGCATGAGGATCCCAGCAGCCCATCAGGGGAGGACTCTAGAGATCCCTTTCCCCATTGCCTCTCCTCCCCATACCCCCAGGCATATCCTCCCAGGGCACGGAAGCTGAGAAGCAGTCCAGAACCACAGTGGGCTAGTGAGGGGTACCTGCTGATGTACCCTTTGGACAGCATTCTGCCCCACCCTGCAGGAAGAAGCAGAAGGAGGGAGAGGGTGAGGCAGAGAATAAATAACCCTGACCAGGGAGGTCCAAGGGAGTAGGCGGAGACAGAGAGGCTGTATTTCAGTGCAGCCTGCCAGACCTCTTCTGGAGGAAGACTGGACAAAGGGGGTCACACATTCCTTCCATACGGTTGAGGTGAGTGCAGGAGGCCAGGGGCATGTCCAGGTGCATGGGTTACTTGCAGCTAGGGGTCTCCTGTTAGACTTGCTGAGTGCATGAGAAGCCAGGCTGTGAAGAACCAGAAGTGGGAGATGTGTAGGAAGCCCCTGACTCAAAGGACAGGCAGCCTTAGTGATCTCTAGGTTTGTGTGCTGAACAGAAAGCATGTGGGTGCTGGAGGTAGCCTAAGGGTAGTTTTCAAGCAGTTTTTCAGTGATTAGTTTACTAGTATGCCCATCTGGAGGCTGGCAGGGGCTGATGTGAATGAGGACAGAGGACAGAGGACAGGCTGGGCTGGGGTTAGACTGGGGCTGCATTGGGGTTGGGTCGGGGTTTGGTGTGTGAACAGGGTGAACGTGGTTGAAGCTCAGTCTATGACTGGGGATGAGGCTGCAGCTGGGGTGGAAGTGGGGCTCTGAGTGAGGTTGGTTTCACTGTATGCTGTACATCAGGAGTCAGGCTGTGGCTGAGACTGGGACTTAGTAATCTTCCTGGGGCTCCGATCTCAGCTTGGTCTGTGTCTAGGATCAGGATTCAGTCTTCAGCCCATTTAAAAAGTAGATTAGTGTCCACACGGCAACACCCCTTGCCTTGTACTCTTTACCCTAGCTACACTAAGTCACTTTCAGCTTTCCAAACAAGGTCTGTTCTCTTTCTCTCTGGCTCTTTGTATTAGCCAGGATGTATTTTTAAAAACAAACTAGATAAGTTCTGTTGCTGAAATTCCCCCAAGTCACTCAGAATTAAACCAAAGCTCCTTGCCATACCCTGCAAGACCCTGTTACCTGATGAGGTCCTTGCCTTCCTCCCGCCTCATCTTCTCAAACTCTGTTGTGCTCTTGATGCTCTGGCCACCTTGACCTTCCTTTTGTTCCATGAATCCCCCAATATCATTCTTGCTGGGGGACGCTTTTCTCTTGCTGTCTCCCACAGTTGGAATGCACTTTCCCTGGATCTTAGAATGGCTGGTGTTTTCTCATCACATGTCACATCCTTAAGAGAGGCTTTTTCTGACCCCTGTCTCCAGTATGAGTGTCCTGCACCCATCTTCCTCTGTCCTATCACTCTTTCTTTCGTGCCCTTATCTTCAACTGAAATTTTATTTGTTTACTTCTCATTATTGGCCTCGTGTTATATGAGCTCCATAAAAGCCATCATCTTGTCTGATTTATCTACTGTTTCATCTCCAGTTTTTGACACTCAATATGTTTTTGTTGTCTAACCGAATGCTGCTGTGCCCCACCCCATTAACTGCCTGTGTCACTGCCCCATTACCTGCCTGCAGCAGGTCCCGCCACTGCCATGGCTTAAATGTCACCTCCTCAGGGAAGCCCTTGGAACCTAAAAAGCTTGCTGAGCTATTGTTGTCTTTGCTTCTGAGGCCCTTTTGCTTCCCCTTGTCCCAGAATTTATCATAATGTGCTGTGATGGCTGCATATTTGTCTCAATTTCTCCCCATCCTTGGAAGGCTGGAACGATATCTCTGGTACTCAGTGGAGTCTGGCACAGAAGTCCGTCAATGATTATTGAAAAAATGAGTACACTGATCAAAATCCCACTTTGGGCATTTCCCTTGCCTTACATTTGCTTGCAGCCAGAATAGCTCTACAGGGAACTGGTAACTAGGTGCAGCTTTGCAGATCTTTAGAACACTTATCTGGTCCTACTCAGGAAGTGGAGGAGCAGAGACCTGAAACCTAGGAACTCTGCCTAGGGGTGATTTTAGGTGGTCAGGCTGACTTGAGTGACCAGGGTGGGGTGAGGGCTCACTTGGCTTTTTGGGAGTTAGAAGTTGCTCTCTCTCATCTTTCCATTTTCATCTTGGCCATTTTAAGAAGAGTGACCAACACCTTGCAAGGGTTCATCTGCTTTATTAAATACAAGCAAGGTGTGGGGCACAGTGGATGCAGATAATTTGAGTGGAAGTCATGCTGGGGCTACTACCCTCACTAAGTGTTAGGGAAGGGACTCTATTTAAGAATCAAGTGACAAGCTCCTCCAGTCCTTGCCAGCCACAGCATTGCCCCTGAGGTCTGCCTTCCCTCTCTGTGCCTGGGATGAGGAGCCAGAGGCTCCCAGGTATGTCTGGGCTTCTCTCCAGGGACATTCTTTTCTAAATATTCCCAGAGGCTGACAGCAGCGCCAGAGGCCCTCACTCCATTGCTCTGGGCATGAAACATTCTGTGTGTTTAGCCCAGATAGTGACACTGACAATGAATCTCCTCCTGGTTCTCCTTCCACACTGAACCTAAGTGGGGAGAGCTGGTCATGTGTCCTGAGTCCGAGAGGGGCCCCTGGACTCATGGGTCATCAGTGTTGGATTCCTGAGAGATTAATATTGAAATAGTGCTTACAAAGCGAAGTCCCTTCTTAAGGAGACATGGGGAGGGGTAGGGCAGTAGCTTGGCCTACTGTAAAGCAATGGATTTAGCACTAAGGGCTCTAACTAACCCTCAACATCCTTATCTGTCAAATGGGATTAATGATATCTGCTTGACAGGTGGATGAGAGGCTCTAATTAGATAATAAGGAAATACGTGGTAGAGGACAAGCCTTTTAATCTCCATTGTGGGGCCTACCCACCTCACAGCCTTTGGAGTTAGGGCTGAAAGAGGAGGTGAGTGTCCCAAGTTCCAGTGCAGAAGAGTCTTCTTTGCAGCCCTCTTGGTTTCCCTTCTAAGAGTATACCCAGGGCAGCTGTGCTACTTACCAAGCCCTTCTTATACCTTGCCTTTTGGGTGGATTTTATTAGCTTTCAGAAGGTGCAGCAAAATTAAAGGCAGCCTAGAATGAGGGAAAGTGTATAGGCCTTGGTATGAGACTATCTAGGTTAAGTTTCTGCATTACCAGTCACCTGTTAAACTTTGGTTATGTTATTTAATGTCTTGGAGCCTCAGTTTTCTCACCCATAATATAGAAAGGATCCATAGTATTCACCCATAATATAGAGAGGATCCATGGTGCAGCAAGAAGGGATGTTGATGACTTTGGCCCCTTTGCCTGAAGTTCTAGGTTAAATCGGTTTCTCTGCCTTAAACTTTCCCTCCCAGCAGATTGAATTAAACACCCTCACCTTCTGCAGAGCTGTTCCCAGATTAGAGATAATATTTATACAGATGGCACTGTATAGTTTCTGTCATTTTGTAGGTGCTCAATAATCTATGTTCATATTATAAAAACAACAAAATCAGGGTTAAAGGTGACCTCATTGTTCTCTTGGGTCAGAAGAGATAGGGCTAATAGGCTAATGGTACACCTTTGGAGTACCATCTCACTAAGTTCTAATTACTAACAGCTGCTCAAGCTGGAAGGCCATCTGGAAGTCTTCTGTCCCTCTGCCTGTCTTGTGGAGGGACTATGGAACATTGGGATGCTTCAGGGCTGGCCAGTCTGAAGGGTGGCACTTGGGCCCTCTGGCTGGCTTCCTCTCCATCCCTTCATTTCTCTCCTGCTGTCTGGTTTATCTCTCTGACTGCTTTTTCACGGGTCTATGAGAAGGAGTTCTAGGGAAGAATGTGAGGATGGGCTGGTGAGGGGGGCTGGGCTGGCATTAGGAGACAGAGTTCTGAAGCCCGGGGGAAGGAAGGGAGAGGACTGAAGGCCTCCACGTGGATTTCCAGTCTTTACAGCTGGGAGCTCCTGTTCCCCTATTCCTGAGAAAAGGTTAAGATGTCCTTCATAGTTCCTGAAGAAACATTCCTGGAACTTGCTAAGATAGTTCAACTTATTCACAGAAAATCTCAGCACAGGGCTATTCCTTGGGGATTAGAGCAGTGTGTGAGCTTTCTAAAAAAAAAATGCTTTGTTAGTTTATTTTTTCTTGATTGTGCCTTATTTTCAAAATAATTTAGTTCCAAGTTCCTCCAGAGCTCAAAACCATCTCACTGAGTTTTAATTACTAACAGCTGCTCAAGCTGGAAGGCCACCTGGAAGTCATCTGGTCACTCTGCCTGTCTCGTGGAGGGACTGTTGAACATTGGGACGCTTCAGGGCTGGCCAGTCTGAACGGTGGCACTTGAGCTCTCTGGCTGGCTCCTTCTCCATCCATTCATTTCTCTCCTGCTGTAGTCTTCTGGGGTCCAGGCTGATATTTTAGCCCCAGCGATAGCTGCCCATTTTATACTGCCTAGGCACCTCCTTCCCAGGCCAGCTAAATCTTCCTTTTGTTGATTTCTGGTATCTTTGTATCAGTGCCCAGTCTTGCTATTGTGAGAAATTGACTGCTAGTAAATATGTGTGTGTATGAGTGTGTACATACAGGCCAAGTGGTGATTAAGGTGACAAATTTGGGGAATTGAAAAGTATATGAAATTTCATACATTTTCAGAGACCTTGTTGCCCATTTTTGTGGAAAACAATGCACTATGTGTACTCCGATTTGGTTTTTACAATTTCTTTAGACATGCCTTATCTCATACAATTTCACAGCAGCACTATGCAGTTATTATTATTCACTGCATTTATTTAGCGCCAAGACTTGTGTTCTAAGCCCCAGGATTCTGCTCACCACATCACTCTACCTTCAGAGGCAATAGTGTTGCATATGCCCAGCCAGAGTTCTTTCCCAGTGTGTTTCCTAAGACAGCACATTTTTTAAATCCTGAGTATCAACCTGCTCTGCCATATCTGTTTATGTAAAACTGATGGATAGCATGGATATCTGACCCTCTGGAGTACCAGAACCTTCTTGCCAGTGTTTCCAGGTGAGGGATCTTAGGTCTATCCTGCTCTTAGGCACAAATTGTGCTGCATGTCCACTTTGCATTTATTAGGACCAAGACCTTGCAGCTGCTCTGTTTTTTTTAATACATATTTCTCTGGCCCTCCAGCTCCTTTGGTAAGAAAGGACTTTTCTGTTTGACCCTAAAGATTATTTTTACAAAATTAAAATTACTCTGCACTGACCTTCCAAACATCATCTCATCCTTCTCAAAAGTCTCTCTAGTACAGATAACAGGCAGTCTTAACTATGCCCTTGGCTGTGTTACCCTCACTAGATGTATACTAAGAGACTCTCCTGTTGATAAAACTCATTTTCATCTTCCAAAACATTAACTAAACAATTAATAAATATAATAAGGTTCCTGGTGTTCAGGAGCTCATAATTCAGGGGAAAATATAGCAATAATTATAGTTACTATTATCAAGAGGGTAAATACTTTAAAAAGACCTAAATAATGTTCTTTTTGAGCACAGAACAGTAAGCATTTAATTATGCCTAGGTAAAAAAGGCTTAGGAAAAATAGTATAGGAGAGAGACAGTAAGCCAGGATGTGAACAATGAGTGTGGGAAGTCAAGGAGGAAGATCTGGGAGGAACAGTTTTTCTTGACAAGGGGATGAGAAGTAAAAAAAGACAGAAAGACACAGAGTCATGGGAATCAAGGCTATGTTTGTGAAATAGCATGAACTTCAATGTGGCTAGATCATAGGGATCATGGTGAGGAGTGGTGAGGGAGGAACCCAGGCCCGGATGATGAAAGTCAGATCTTTAGCCATGTCATAAGAAGTTTAGTCTTTATTCTAGAATCAATTTGGAGTTTCAAGGGTATTTTTTAAAATAATAGGGAGCGAGCTGGTTTCATCTGGTTAGATTGTTGGGACTTTGTGGATGAGGAAGGTTACCCTAGAGACGTGGCAGTCAGGATCAGAGAACCTGGCTTGTATGATGGTTCACGCCACCATAACAGAAAAAAAGAAACACTGGAGGAAAATGGTTAACAGCAACAGATATTATTTTTGGCATACTTACTATGTGTGAGGTATTGTGTTAAGTGCTTTACATTTATCATCTCATTTAATCTTCACACTGACCCCCTATTAGCCAGGGACTCTTATAATCATTTTAATGATGAGGATGCTGAGGCTTAGAAAGGTTAAATGATTTACCCCAGATCATACAGCTCTAGAGGTTTTAGACTGGGTTTAGAATGCATGATTGATTTCAAAGATCATAGTTTCAATGGCTATATAATACTGCCTCTGAAAGAGTTTGTTTTTTGAACATGGAGAGTTTGATGTAGTTGAAAGACAATTAGGTGAACCCTTTTAGTAAGTCTTCCGAATTATGAACCTGGATTACAAAAGAGAATTCAGGGTTCATTAACTAGGTTTGGGGATCAATTGTTTGTATAACAAAAATGGATTTACTGAAGGGGATGAGATGGCCCAGGAAGAGAATATAGAACAGGAAGAGCACTGAAGATGCAATTTTGGAGAGGAGAGTGAAGATCCAGAAACGAAACCAATAATTAGTGATTAGAGAGAGCCGAGGAACAGCAGAAAGGAGAGGGAGAAGCTCTAAGAAGGAGGAAAGTGCTCCTGGTGCCACATGCTGCAGAGAAGCTGCAGCAGCGAGAAGGGACATTGATGACTTCGGCCCTTTGCCTGAAGTTCTAGCTTAAATATGGTTTCTCTGCCTTAAAACTTCCCTTCCCAGCAGATTGAATTAAACTCTCTCACCCTCTGTTCTACTATTCATGCTCCCATTGTTTTCCCACTAATTTCTATCTGGTCTGAGGAAACCTCTGGGTGACCGCTTGATGCTGGTACAAAGATTTGTGACACACCCTGAGCCCATGGGACCTCTTCTGATGCTGGCCATGAATTCTGACTTATGCTCAGCTGCTTTCTGGTAACCAGTGCAGAAACCCCTATCCCAGCTCTCAAACATTCAAGGGCCAAATCTATGTAAAAACTACAATACACATGATCTAATAAATACAGGTTGAGTACCCCTAATCCAAACATCCAAAATCTGAAATGCTCCAAAATCTGAAACTTTTGGAGCACCAACATGATGCTCAAAGAGAATGCTCACTGCAGCATTTCAAATTTCAGATTTTTGCATTAGGGATGCTGATCTGGGTATGTATAATGCAAATATTCAAAAAAAAAAATCCCAAATCGGAAACACTTCTGGTTTCAAGCATTGAAGATAAGGGCTACCCTATAGTAGGAGCACATGAATATTTGTCGATGGAGGAAAGAAAGGGAGGGAGGGAGGGAATCAGTTCACTCTTAACAGACACATACAATCTGAGATGACCCAAGTCTGACATTTTCCACCTCAGTAATATCAAATCATTTTTATAGTCAGATTCAGTTTGTTTGCAGACTGAATTCTGCTATAGGATTGATTATGCCTCCAGTGCTTCTAATGCCATCACCCCTCAGGGTTAGTATTCTAGTTGTATCAATCTCACTTTCTTAGATTGGGTGGGTCTCCTAGAAGCAGAACCTGAGGTGGGGGTTCTTGTCCAAATGACATATTGAGGGAGTACATGGCCATGAGAAGAAGAAGGAGGGAATCCTGGTAGGGCAGGGGAAGAAAGCTAAGCAGGGCTGTGGTCTCAGCTGGAGACAAGCCTCAGGCTGGTTCCTTGGGAAGCTCTGAAGTACAAATTGCATCAAAGTGTTTGTTGCACCCAGAGGCAATGGGGCTCACCTTTGGTACCCCTTATGTCAGGCAGCCACTGGCCTCTAGATGTGCATCATGGGGGCACAGTGTAACCTTCCTGGGTGAGGTGCCTCCCATTTGACCAAGGACAATCCTCTGGAAAGAAGGGGAGCTGTGAGCCCTTAGCACTCAATGCTCAGTGCAGATGGGAGATGGTTACATTGGCTTTGTGAATGGGGTCTGGCTGGGATACGAACGGTATCCACTAGAGCCATCATTCTTTATTTGAAATAAACTGAGTAGTCTGGACAAGTGTAAAGCTTTGGGTGGTCATTTGGACAAGAAGGTAATGTAGAGTTAGAGTTCAGGATTAATTTAGTGTCAGTTTTTTATTGGATTACGGTTTATCATAATAAAATAGAATATGAATTGTGACTTGAATATCATCAATTCGATCTTTAAGATTGAAATGGTTATTAAAAGGTCAAATATTAAGTTATGTTAAAGTTAGGGTTAAGTCTAGAATTGGGGAGATCATTAGATTAATGCTGGGGTTAGGTTTCAGTATTAATCTGTTACTACTAGTGTTGTTACACTTGGACTGGAATTTTTTCTTAAAGATAGTCTAATGATATGCTTAGAATTGCAGTTAGTATTAAGCATAGGGAAGCATAAAGGTAAGCTAGGATAGAGGAAATGGTGAGATATTTTTATCACCTAAGATTCTTTTATATTCAGCCAGTAGCCTTTCTTTGGAGAACTAAATGGTTTGGCATATGCTTAAAATTTTTGTCTTAGTCTTTCACTTGCTGTCAGGATTAACAATACAGATGGGGTTAGTAAGTAGGACTGGATGAATTTGTGTCTGGTTCTTGAATTATGTTAGATTATGTGAGATTGCATTTAGAATATGATTAGAATTTGCATAAGGAATGGATTTAGAGTTTGAGTTAGAGAACAGTACATCAGGATAGAGTCAGGTGTTAGGTATTGGGATGCTTATGGATCTGACAGTGGCTTATCTTTGCATTCCAGCCTCTACCTGCCTGGTGCTGGTCACAGTTCAGCTTCTTCATGATGGTGGATCCCAATGGCAATGAATCCAGTGCTACATACTTCATCCTAATAGGCCTCCCTGGTTTAGAAGAGGCTCAGTTCTGGTTGGCCTTCCCATTGTGCTCCCTCTACCTTATTGCTGTGCTAGGTAACTTGACAATCATCTACATTGTGCGGACTGAGCACAGCCTGCATGAGCCCATGTATATATTTCTTTGCATGCTTTCAGGCATTGACATCCTCATCTCCACCTCATCCATGCCCAAAATGCTGGCCATCTTCTGGTTCAATTCCACTACCATCCAGTTTGATGCTTGTCTGCTACAGATGTTTGCCATCCACTCCTTATCTGGCATGGAATCCACAGTGCTGCTGGCCATGGCTTTTGACCGCTATGTGGCCATCTGTCACCCACTGCGCCATGCCACAGTACTTACGTTGCCTCGTGTCACCAAAATTGGTGTGGCTGCTGTGGTGCGGGGGGCTGCACTGATGGCACCCCTTCCTGTCTTCATCAAGCAGCTGCCCTTCTGCCGCTCCAATATCCTTTCCCATTCCTACTGCCTACACCAAGATGTCATGAAGCTGGCCTGTGATGATATCCGGGTCAATGTCGTCTATGGCCTTATCGTCATCATCTCCGCCATTGGCCTGGACTCACTTCTCATCTCCTTCTCATATCTGCTTATTCTTAAGACTGTGTTGGGCTTGACACGTGAAGCCCAGGCCAAGGCATTTGGCACTTGCGTCTCTCATGTGTGTGCTGTGTTCATATTCTATGTACCTTTCATTGGATTGTCCATGGTGCATCGCTTTAGCAAGCGGCGTGACTCTCCGCTGCCCGTCATCTTGGCCAATATCTATCTGCTGGTTCCTCCTGTGCTCAACCCAATTGTCTATGGAGTGAAGACAAAGGAGATTCGACAGCGCATCCTTCGACTTTTCCATGTGGCCACACACGCTTCAGAGCCCTAGGTGTCAGTGATCAAACTTCTTTTCCATTCAGAGTCCTCTGATTCAGATTTTAATGTTAACATTTTGGAAGACAGTATTCAGAAAAAAAATTTCCTTAATAAAAATACAACTCAGATCCTTCAAATATGAAACTGGTTGGGGAATCTCCATTTTTTCAATATTATTTTCTTCTTTGTTTTCTTGCTACATATAATTATTAATACCCTGACTAGGTTGTGGTTGGAGGGTTATTACTTTTCATTTTACCATGCAGTCCAAATCTAAACTGCTTCTACTGATGGTTTACAGCATTCTGAGATAAGAATGGTACATCTAGAGAACATTTGCCAAAGGCCTAAGCACGGCAAAGGAAAATAAACACAGAATATAATAAAATGAGATAATCTAGCTTAAAACTATAACTTCCTCTTCAGAACTCCCAACCACATTGGATCTCAGAAAAATGCTGTCTTCAAAATGACTTCTACAGAGAAGAAATAATTTTTCCTCTGGACACTAGCACTTAAGGGGAAGATTGGAAGTAAAGCCTTGAAAAGAGTACATTTACCTACGTTAATGAAAGTTGACACACTGTTCTGAGAGTTTTCACAGCATATGGACCCTGTTTTTCCTATTTAATTTTCTTATCAACCCTTTAATTAGGCAAAGATATTATTAGTACCCTCATTGTAGCCATGGGAAAATTGATGTTCAGTGGGGATCAGTGAATTAAATGGGGTCATACAAGTATAAAAATTAAAAAAAAAAGACTTCATGCCCAATCTCATATGATGTGGAAGAACTGTTAGAGAGACCAACAGGGTAGTGGGTTAGAGATTTCCAGAGTCTTACATTTTCTAGAGGAGGTATTTAATTTCTTCTCACTCATCCAGTGTTGTATTTAGGAATTTCCTGGCAACAGAACTCATGGCTTTAATCCCACTAGCTATTGCTTATTGTCCTGGTCCAATTGCCAATTACCTGTGTCTTGGAAGAAGTGATTTCTAGGTTCACCATTATGGAAGATTCTTATTCAGAAAGTCTGCATAGGGCTTATAGCAAGTTATTTATTTTTAAAAGTTCCATAGGTGATTCTGATAGGCAGTGAGGTTAGGGAGCCACCAGTTATGATGGGAAGTATGGAATGGCAGGTCTTGAAGATAACATTGGCCTTTTGAGTGTGACTCGTAGCTGGAAAGTGAGGGAATCTTCAGGACCATGCTTTATTTGGGGCTTTGTGCAGTATGGAACAGGGACTTTGAGACCAGGAAAGCAATCTGACTTAGGCATGGGAATCAGGCATTTTTGCTTCTGAGGGGCTATTACCAAGGGTTAATAGGTTTCATCTTCAACAGGATATGACAACAGTGTTAACCAAGAAACTCAAATTACAAATACTAAAACATGTGATCATATATGTGGTAAGTTTCATTTTCTTTTTCAATCCTCAGGTTCCCTGATATGGATTCCTATAACATGCTTTCATCCCCTTTTGTAATGGATATCATATTTGGAAATGCCTATTTAATACTTGTATTTGCTGCTGGACTGTAAGCCCATGAGGGCACTGTTTATTATTGAATGTCATCTCTGTTCATCATTGACTGCTCTTTGCTCATCATTGAATCCCCCAGCAAAGTGCCTAGAACATAATAGTGCTTATGCTTGACACCGGTTATTTTTCATCAAACCTGATTCCTTCTGTCCTGAACACATAGCCAGGCAATTTTCCAGCCTTCTTTGAGTTGGGTATTATTAAATTCTGGCCATTACTTCCAATGTGAGTGGAAGTGACATGTGCAATTTCTATACCTGGCTCATAAAACCCTCCCATGTGCAGCCTTTCATGTTGACATTAAATGTGACTTGGGAAGCTATGTGTTACACAGAGTAAATCACCAGAAGCCTGGATTTCTGAAAAAACTGTGCAGAGCCAAACCTCTGTCATTTGCAACTCCCACTTGTATTTGTACGAGGCAGTTGGATAAGTGAAAAATAAAGTACTATTGTGTCAAGTCTCTGAAAATGATTTTGTTGTTCTTAAAGCATTCTAGCCTTGTAAATAAAACACTAATTTCATAGTTGTTGAATAAATAGATTGAAAACTAAAGGAAATAATAACTGAAAACTGAAGGGCTCAGAAAAGTCTGCTCTTCATCCTATATGCTTACATAAGAGGTATATTTATACCTACATAAGAGGTATAAATTTATCAAAGAAGGAAATATTTCCTTATGCTAGCATAAGTATCACAAAGTCCTTATTAACCATTATGACATCAAGCGGTGTCTCATACAGGTTTCTATTAATTTGCTTTGGATCACTTCCATCCCAACTACTTAGGAAACTTACATTATTGTCTCTTCTCCCTCATAGATATTCAACCTCACTCTCTCAAATGAATCATTCCTAGCATTTATCATGTTCAAGTCCCTTTCCATATTAAAAGCAACAATGACAACAACCAGTATAAATCTGTCTGAACTCATATTCCTTCTGTCTCTTCCCGTTAATAGCCAAATCTCTTAGAGAAGTTATCTGTAACTTACCGTCACTTACACATCTCTCATATAACTCTTCCATTATTCCAGTTTAGTTTTGGCCTTGGTCAAACTACCAAAGAACTTTTACTATACATCATCAGGAACCTCTGTGTGTCTGAGGTTTTAGTTTTTATCTTCCCTGATTTCTCAACAACATTTAACACAGTTGACCACTCTCTTTCTTGATACATTTTCTTCCTTTGCCCTTTGTGGCATCACACTCATGGTTTTCTTCTTATATCTCTGCATACTTCTCAGTTTCTTTGCACATACATTCTACTCTGCTTGGTGAGAGAATATGGTGTAAAAGGGCCTCTAATCAGGCCTCTAATTCCTACACAATTAATGCTTGTATTTGTTGCTGGTCTATAAAATTTGAGTTAATGGCCTCTAATTCCTATGCATTCATACACACACACACACACACACACACACACACACACACACCACTCACTTTGCCATTTGTATATCAGTGACATAATTTGTATCTTTAGACTAGACTATCGGGTTAGTCTAGAGCTCTAGGCATATAGCTCCAATGGCCTGTGTAACCCAGCCATTTGGATGCTTCAAGCTCAAAGTGTCCAAAAATCAAACTCATGATATTCTTTATGCAATTATATTCATCATTCATGTTTCATATATATCAGTTAATCTCACCACCACTTATTCTGACATGCAAGCCTCAAACCTAGGAGTGAAACTTGGCCTTTTCTTTTTCTTCTCTTAACCTTCATATTTAATTCCAAATAAAGTTATATAATTTCTACTGCTTTTATAACTTTGATCCCATATTTCTCTTTATTTGTACCACTACTCCCCTAGTCCAAGCCACAATAAATTCATCTGGACTATTTCGATAGCCTTATGAGTGGTAAATTTGCATGCATTATAGCTTTAATTCAATCTATTCTCTGCAACACAGTGTAAAACCATCTTTCCAAAGGCAAATGTGCTCATGTCAAAACCACTCTCTCCTCTGCTTAAAATACCCTTAATATTTCCCATCTTTTTGGTTGAGCCCATTTCTATTTTCAGTCTTCTCTTCAACCACCGGCTCCTTGCTCACTGACTTCCAGTCCCACTGCCTTTTGTTTCATTCCTTGATTTCACCATACTTCCTCCTTCTACAAGCTCTATGGAGACATGGTTTTTTATGCCTAATACTCCTTCCCCTAAATATTCTTTCCCAGTTATTGTTATTATTTTTTTAACATTCAGACCTCCCCTTAATTATCATTTCTTGAGAAAAGTCATTCCTTACACCTTAGGGCAGGTAAGATACCCTTATTGTGTACTTTTATAAAACCATCTATTCTTTTTTGTTTGTTTGTTTTTTTGAGATGCAGTCTCGCTCTGTCGCCCAGGCTGGAGTGCAATGGCGTGATCTCGGCTCACTGCAACCTCCACCTCCTGGATTCAAGCAATTCTCCTGCCTCAGGCTCCCCAGTAACTGGGATTACAGGCGCCTGCCACCACGCCCAGCTAATTTTTTCTATTTTTAGTCGAGACAGGGTTTCACCATGTTCTCCAGGCTAGTCTTGAACTCCTGAGCTCACGTGATCCATCTGCCTCGGTTTCCCAAAATGCTGGGATTACAGGTGTGAGCCACCGCCCCTGGCCAGAACCATCTATTCTTAATTCACTTATTTAGTCATTTTCATAGGCAGAATTCTAAAATGGCCCTACAGAAATGTCCTGCTCTGGTTCCCAGAACCTTTGAATATTATGAGATATCACTTCTGGGATTGTGTTATATGCTGTATTGCACAACTGGATCTTCATATAGGGAGATTACAGCCTCGTGGGCCTGATCTAATCACATGAGACCTTAAAAACAAGACATTTCTCTAGCTGGTGACAGAAGAAATCAGAGATATTCAGAGCATGGCAAGGATGTGATGTGCTGTTGCTGGCTTGATGATGGAGGAGTGCGGGAGAAGGAATGTGGGCAGCCTAGGGAGCTGAGAGAGGCCAATGGAGAACAATGGAAAAGTGATCCCAGTGGCACGGCTTCAAGGAACTGGATTCTGTTAATAACCAAAATGAATGTGGAAGCAGTTTCTTCCCCAAGGCTCCCAAATTAGAACCCAGTCCGCTGAAACTAATTTTAGCCTTATGAGAACCCAGCTATACTTCTCATAAGGCTAAGAAGCTCACCCATACTTCTGACCTTCAAAATATGAACTAATAAATGGGTATTGTTTTAAGCTGCTTTTTTTTTTCTCTGCAGCAATGGGAAACTAATGTAGTCACCAAATACATTCTTAGTGCTATTAAAATAAGTGTGAACCCAGCACTGAGAATGCAATGGAGAAAAAAGTGGTTTAAATTCTTCCCTCATGGAGTGCACAGTCTCCTGGTGGAAGAAAAGCCTAAATGGATATTGCTTAATGCTATTGCAAATTTATATTTCTTTGTAAACATATTTAATTAATGTGTATTCCTTCCACAAGGATCAAGTCTGGTTTTGGTAGCATTGTGTTCTTGTCCATCATGTAACAGAGTGTCTGGCTCACAGGAGTCACTAAAGAAAAAATAAAAGAACTATTTGTTAATACATGAAGAATAAAATGCTTCAAGTCAGATCGCTGATACAAATGAGACAGTTGTGATGGAGTTTGAGTAAGGTTTGTTTTCCTGACTCTTAAGCTTGTGTTCTTAAACACTGTAACATAAAATCTTAATTACCCAATTCAGACACTACATACTGAGATCCTGTGAAATTGACCTCACACTTAGTGTTGTGGGACAATCAGAGATAGGAGAGACCCAACAGAGTGAGTTCAGGAAAGGACTTTATTAAAAGGTGGTCACCTGGCTCAGTAGGACTAGTGTCCAGGAAAGTATGAGTCCTGGACAAAGAAAGGAGCCACCTTTTAAGCAGTCGGTGGTCAGGAGTTACGTGATGCAGGAAGCATACTTACAGAAGCGAGAACAAAGGCAGTTGATCAGTTTTTTACATTTATCTATACTACATGTTCTACATCCTTGGGAAACCATGTTTCTGTATCAACCTTGTAACTCTGCAGCTGTGCTAAGGAGGTGAAGCAGGAACTTGCTGAGCCTCAAGGAATGTGAAACTGGTGAGTACAGATAAGGCTGGCTGAGCACAGAAGGAAAAACAGGGAGTTAGTATTCTTCTCTAACTTAGACTACGGGGGGGATACACTACACTTAGCTTTTAAAGGAAAAAGTAAAAATTTCTCAGTTGTCTTTGTACTTGTAAAATGCATGAATTCCTTCTTCAGTAGTAGGAAGGGTAGTGGCACAGGTGAAGAGAAAGATACACATGTCCTTACAACTTCACCTTGTAAGAAGGTGCATTCCAGCAGACACACGTAAACAAATCTTAGTATTGTATGCCCCAAAGCCCTTTTTCATTTCTTTTTTTCAACAAGAACCCTTTATGGAGCCAAAGTACTTATATCACTGAGGTGTGAAGGTCATCACTTCCAACAAAAAGGCCCAGGAGACCTCCTAGGGTGAGAAAATAGGGAACTTTTCTTTACCAAGAGAGAATACTTAATTTAGTCAGTCAGTAGTATTGCATCTCTTACACTTCCAGTTTGTCTACCCAACGTAGTTGAAAACCTTCTCACAAATGTTTACAATTATTTACATGTATTCTTTTCTCTGAAGGACCAAAAGCTCCCTAGAGGAAAACATCTCCAAATTACATCTTAAATTAAACAACTCATTGCCTTATCTCCTATTCAAAATAATTTATCATTAAATCTTCAAAATAATTATTGAGTATCTGCTATTCCACCAACAGTACTAGGCACTGAGTATATGTTGGCCCCCTCGGGGCTTACCATCTAGTTGAATGACAAACTATTGTATATATGCAGGAAGCAAACATAGTACCTTGAATAATCTGGAAAGGAGAATTAATGAGACAGGATTTTCTGAGAAATTAGGTTTATACTTTATTTGAAATGAGACACAGGCATGGGGGGAATGAGAATGTTCCAGGCAGTGTAAAAGGTATCTGGGAAAACTGAGGCCAGATAAGAGGTTAAACTGATTAGTCTTTCTGGTTCTAGTTTTGTTCATATGTCCAACACACTTCTAATCTGCAATTTATACTACTAACTTATAGTAAAAATATAATGATTTTTAGGTACTAGATACAAACCAAACAACTTAGCATAGTATGCACAGTCCTATACAATTTGGTCACCTACTTCTTCATCCCCTACCATTCCCTCTTCTTACCCTATGCTGCAGCCACGCCTATAAAGACATAAGCGGTAGAGACATAAAGAAGTACAGGAATGCAAACCTTTTCACAAACACTTTTCCTTTTTCAAAACGTGGAGTCTTTTTTTCACGTTGCTCTTTTTTTTTTAGATTTTTCTGTTTCTTATTTAATTCCTACTTAGCCTAGAAAAATTCTAAGTTTTTCAAGGTGAAATAAAAATTATTCTCTTCTTTGTGGAAGCTTGCCACACTTTCCCAGGAATGTTCTGTCAATGACCAATTTGTAGTCTCTAGCAATCTTTTGAGAGGAACGTTATTATGGCACTTATTGGTTTATAGTCTGGCTGTGTCTTTACTTGCCTTTCTCCTGGCACAAGTTTGTGAGCTTTCAGAGACAAAGGAACACATTTCATTTATTTCTCAGTCTTTCATCCTCATCACTACTTTCTTACAAAGTAAATCTGAACGTAAATTTGTAACATAAATAAGCCTTATGGGCTTCCCACTATCTTAGCACAGATTAGGGATTTTCAGTGCTAGCTGGGTCTAACAGGTTTCTGTAAGGCTATAGCAGTCTCTTTAATGTTACCCAGACCCTATAATATTTTGTAATTTCATCAGCCTTGGCTTCTCCCCATCAGCATCCTGAGGATGGCCTCCCTGATGGGCTTGGACTTCATACTGTAAATGATGGGGTGGAGCACAGAAGGCATCACCAGGTACACATAGGTAACAAGAGCATGTACAATGTGGGGCAGGTGCCTCCCAAAATGGTGGATCATGGACACGGTGATACCTGGAATAAAGAAGACAAAGACAGCCGGAATGTGGGAAACGCAGGTGTTGAGGGCCCAGATGCGCTCCCTGGGAGCAGCCAGACCCATGACTGTGTGCAGGATGAAGGTATAGGACAGAAAGATGAGCAGCGAGTCTAAGCCCCCTGTAGAAACAACCACGTAGACCCCATAGCATATATTGATCGTGATGTCCGCACAGGCCCGCCTCATTACATCAGGGTGGAAACAGAACGAGTGGGATGGGATGTTATCACCAGGGCAGAAATTTAGACTCTTAACCGGAAATGGCACAGGAAGAGGCACAAGGTAACTTGAGCCACAATGGCCAGCCCAATCCTGATGATGACACTATTTGTGAGGACAGCTGCATAGTGCAGGGGGTTGGAGATGGCCACAAAGTGGTCAAAGGATATGGCCAGGAGCACTGAGGACTCCACCACAGAGGAGTGCAGGAAGAACATCTGGACCAGGCAGGCATTGAAGCCCATGAGCCGGTGGTCAAACCAGAGCACAGCCAAGGTGATGGGCAGTGTGGACAAGGTGAGGCCCGCTTTGGGGAGCGCCAGCATGGACAGGAAGTAGCACATGGGCTGGTGCAGGCTGGGGTTCCTCTTCACAGCCAGGAGGATCAGGCAGTTCCCAGGGAGGGCCACAGTGTACATGGAGGAGAAGGGGATGGCGAGCCAGCCATGAACCGCCTCCAGCCCTGGGATGCCAATCATGAGAAGAGCAGGCGGTTGGAAGAAGGAGATGTTGACATAGGTCTGGGAAGGGAGCATCCTAGGGAGGCAGCCGAAGGCTCTGGAGAGATGTGAGTTCTTCAATCTGAGTAGATAGGAGGACATTGCCAGGATGCCTGTCAGTAGAAAGACATTCATTTATGCTGTGTAGGCTTTTTCATTAATTGTTTTCCATTGTTCCTAGCCCTTGGTCTGTTATTATTAACTGTTCCAGGAATGTGCAGACATTAACTAATAAGCCCTCAAATGAAATTCAAGTCTTAAGGGATAGCGTAACTCTTCCCTAGTTAACAAGACATGAATGATAATGGTAGATATAAAATTTGTTTTTTTCTCATGTTTATTTCTTTAAATTGACATAAAAATGTATGTATTTATCCTGTACAACATGAAGTTTTCCAGTATATGTACACTGTGGAATGGTGAAATCTAGCTATTTAACACAAGCATTACCTCATACATTTATGATTTTTGTGGGGAATATCAGTTAAAATTCACTCTCTTAGCATTTTCTTTCCCTCCCTCCCTCCCTCCCTCTCCTTCCTCTCTTCTTCTTTCTTTTTCTCTTTCTCTCTCTCTCTTTCTCTTTTCTTTTCCTTTCTTTACTTTTCTTTTCTTTCCTCTTTTTTGAGATAGGGTCTTGCTTTGTTGCTCAGGCTAGAGCGCAGTGCCAAGATCATAGCTCACTGCAGCCTCAAACTCCTGGGGTCAAGCGATCCTCCTGCCTTAGACTCCTGAGTAGGTGGGACTACAGGTCTGTGCCACCATGCCTAGCTAATTATTTATTTTTTAAATTTTTGTAGAGACAGGGTATCACAGTGTTGTCCAGTCTGGTCTTGAACTCCTGGGATTAAGCAATTCTCCCACCCCAGCCTCTGAAAGTGCTGGCATTATAGGTATGAGCCACCATACCTGGCCTTAGCATTTTCAAGAATAAAAGATGATATGTTGTATTATAGAATTTAGTTGCTGTTAACTATACAGTTTATACTGCTTTCACTTTAACATACAGTGTCTTCACTAAATGAAAGTGTTTGCTAATTTTATTTCAGATGTAAAACACACTATCAATACTCATAATTATCATCATCACATTGTTGTTTTTGTCCTGGTCCTTATTGTTATTCCACTGATAGTATATTTTTTGCAGTATTCTAAGTGCTTTCACAGTAATTATGTCATTGGAATCTCACAATTACTTTGCCAGGTATACAAAGAAGGAAAACAGTTTTACTAAAGTGAGTGGAGAGAAATGCTTAAATCTATCAAAGAAAGATGAAAACTGCAGCCTTCCCCATAAAACAGCTATTAAAACTCCACTGTGGCCGGGCGCGTTGGCTCATGCCTATAATACCAGCACTTTGCGAGGCCCAGGAGGGCGGTTCATCTGAGGTTGGGAGTTTGAGACTAGCCTCATTAACATGGAGAAACCCTGTCTCTACTCAAAATACAAAATTAGCTGGGCGTGGTGGCACATGCCTGTAATCCCAGCTACTTGGGGGCTGAGGCAGGAGAATCACTTAAACCCGGGAGGCAGAGGTTGCAGTGAGCTGAGATCCTGCCATTGCACTCCAACCTGGGCAACAAGAGTGAAACTCTGTCTCAAAAACAATGCAAAACAAAACGAGAACAAAACCAAACAAAACAAAAAACAAAACAAAAGAAACCTTGTGTGTGTGTGTGTGTGTGTGTGTGTGTGTGTGTGTGTGTGTGTCTGTGTAAGATTTGAGGGCAAAATCCTGACATTCTCTAGTAATCAAGTCCCACCAATGAGAAAGTTTCAGGGTAAGGATGAAAATAGGTAGTAGGAATGTTTTGGTAAATGAAGTGATGATTTGATTCTTACCAGGTCACTAAGAACTGTCAAAGATGTGGGGTCTTTCTGTGTCTTGCCCAGAGAATATTGACTGGGTCATTGGATGCCCTTGCAATTCAGGCTGCAAATTACAAGAATCATTTCTGCACCCCATTGACTCAACATTTCCCAGAATTTAGGAATGTCAGACAAATATTTCCTTCAGCCCCTTAGCATATCCTTCCTAAAGTCTTTTGTCCTTGAATGTGCCTCCCCCTAAATCACTTAACATTGTCTTTCCTAGTCGGGAGGGCCAAAGCTGCAGCCCCAAGGAGCCTGAGGTTCTCCCCTAAAGTTAGAATTTCCAAAGACACCTGTTAAAACATGAATAAAAAACATAAATTTAGGCTAGTTTCAATGTTCTGTGGAGTTTGTTCTACTAATGCTACTAATGTTATTGTCTGATGCTGGGCAAATAAATTTACTAATGGATCAATCATTCAGTATGCTATGTTCCAGATATTAGACTTTTCACATTTCTGATTGTACATAATACCTCTCTGCTTATAAAACAATCATGCAAGGTAGATATTATCATCTTCTTAAAAAAGATAGCTATAACAACAATAATAATAATATTATTTTAAAACAAATAAAACTAGAGAGAGAGGTTGAGTTCCTCCAGGCCAGTCTAGATGTGACTGTACAAATTCAAATTCACGTCTACTTCACTTAAACCTTTCAACAGTCTCAAACTGTCTGCATTATACTAGATGCTAGAGATTGGTAAAATGTGGGCCGCTTGGAGCAGATTAGCTGGAAGTCCCTATTTTCTTCTAATGTTTCATGGTGACATGATTTAGGGCTCTGCAGATGCAGTGTTTTCCTATTTCTTTAAAACTGTCTTTACTCAGTATAACCCTTTTGGTTCTTCATACTATTTGCCGTTTATTATGCTAATTGCCTCTCCATTTTTTATTTTCTTTTTACTAATTCAAGTGACATTTCTTCAGAAACCTCATTCAATCCTAATGTTCTGATTTTGATGATTTCCAAATCTCTGCTCTTTTTTTTTTTCAGGGACAATCAATGGATGAGCAAGTGAATACATTATTGAATAATGATTTCTTTATTTATATAATCCACTCCTCTTTACCCCAAGCCTTAATAAAGCCTCCTCTAGTGCACATGTTCACAACTTTTACTGTATAGTTTGCATACAGAAAAGATCAATGACTCCTTCAGATTAATTAAATTAATTGTTATTTTCAGTCAGTCTTATTTAAAGTTAGGTAAGGTCAATCCAGAAAATAGTCTCTTTGTCATTGGTAACATAAATCAGAATACAGGGTAAGTTCTGGATTCTCCATTTAACTTTCGGCAATCTGAGGATAAATCTTGCTGAAGTTAATGTGACATTTCCCTTTCTTCCAGCCTGGATTGATTTATCTGTTCTCCAGTGACTCACAAATGCGTTATCCTAGAACTCTCAGTTGTCTCCTAGTTGAAACGCAGGTCCTCTGTAACTCTGGGTATTTGTCTGATCTATTTCTCCTGGATGTGGTAGAAGGATCAAAATGCTAAGTTTGGTTCCATATTACAAGAAGCTGAACACTTAAAGATGTGACTATACAGTACCTCTTAGGACAAGTTGCCAAAAATTTGTGGCACTTTGTACAATCAAACTAAGTTTTCTCATCTCCAGATAATTGTCTTTTCATCCATTTTCATGTATTGTAAATATTACAGTGATATGAGAGGTCTGACATGAGGGATGAATTCTGTGTATTTAAATGAAAATTTTTGCTTTTGTTTTCTTTCTTTTCTATAAATACCCATTCTAGTAGACAGCTTGGATTACCATGTTTCTTAGTTCCCATGGACTCAGAAAGTTTAAAGTTAAATCTCTCAACTCTGGAAATTAGACCAGGTTTGGTTTTCTGCTATTATATCTAGGACATAAAAGAGTCAAACCTATTTAAAAATCATAACTCTTCCCAGAAGAAGGAGGAAAAATGTGGATGATTTCTAACTTATGTTTATTTTAATACTCTAAGAATGTTCCATGACTGTACGTTGTCTGTGGGAGTCAAAAGGAGTGATTCAACATGTTTGCTTTCCTCTACCTCCAAGTCAAGTGCTTTCCTTAAAGGCTCTTCTTATCCAAGAGAATATGAAGAACAATCTCATGGCGAAAGGTGACATCTCAAGCAAACATTCAGATCATCCCCAGGATGCTACCTGAGATGGGATCTTAAGATACCCTCACAGAGTTGCCCTACTTAGAGAAACCAAAGAGTATGAATCCCCTTGGTCACAGAGTCTAGGTTTCTGAATAATGATCTGAATTGAGAAATCTCTGTGTTCAGGAACGTTGCCTCTTTCCTTACTCTCCCTCATCTAGGGGCATGTTCTTGCCATCTATGGAAGTCCAGGCCTCCTCACTCCTTTCCTGCTTCTGACACCTTCTCATCTCTCATCCCACTGATTCCTCCTTTTGGTGGTAGCTGACAGAGTGGGGAACTCAGACTCATTGAGCAGGCCCCTTCCCTTCTAAATAGTGCAGAAGGGATTGTGTCCAGGCCCTGTGTTACTCACCCTGCTTGTTGTCAAAGCCTTCTTTACCTCTCCACATCCTGAAGGAGCCCAGGAAGGCTCTGGAACTGACGTCCCGTCTTTACACCCTTGGCTAGATGCCCTGGTGAGATGCTGTTCCCCAGGGATCCCTGGGGCCCAGGCCACCCAGAAGATTCTCTGCTAACTTGTTCCTGGGCAATAGAAAATGACTGGGGTGTGTGTGTTGGGAAGGAGAGCTACATTTAAGCAACTGAGCTGTGGAGGAGACGAGAGAGCTAGAATCATCATGTCTCTCTCTGTGCTCAATACCTTGAGCTCAATGAGTCTGAGTTCCCCACTCTGTCAGTGTTTCCACTCTGCCACACCTGCAGGAAGCTTCACTGGGCACTTCAATCACTTCCTTTACTGTGCTCCTCAGTGACATCAGCTTTTCCATTTGGAGTCACAGAGACCACTTTGTAGCCTCTCTCAGTGACAGCCTTTTAGGTTGTCAGGGTCAGTGGTGTCTTCCCTCCACTCCATCTTAGCCCCCAGGGATGGACATCCAGGGGAAGCAGCCCCACTTCCTGTGTCTACTCCTCATGGACATTGTGGGAGCTCCATTTTCTTCAACAGAAGATATGAATCAAGCAATCTGAGGGCCTAGATGGGGAGAAAAGGGCCCTGAAACAGGGAGAGATGAATGTAGCCACCAGCTCTCTGTTTTTTTCTTTAGAGGGGCAGGGAGTCATTCAACCTAAGAATTTTTCCTTGCTGTCTTGCATATCCCAACAGGCCTCCCTTCATTCTTACAGTGTGACTGACCTAAATTGAAAATATGAAGAGGACCCATGGGCTAAAAGGTATTTGAAAAGATGTTTATCATCAATAATCGTTAGTGAAATGCAAATCAAAACCACATTATCAGCTCGTATTTGTTAGAATGGTTATTATCAAAAATGAAAAAAATGGTAAGTGTTGGTGAGGAAAGGGGGACCCTTGTATACTATTGGTCAAAATGTAAATCAATGTAGTCATTATGGAAAATAATACGGAGGTTCCTCAAAAAATAAAACTAGAACTACCATAAGATCCAGCAATCCCTTTTCTGGATACATATCCCAAAAAATGAAATTAGTATCTCAAAGAGATATCTGTATGCCCATGTTCTTTGCAATATTATTCACAAGAGCCAAGATATGGAATTAACCCAAATCCCCATCAACAGATAAAGGGAAAATGAAAAGGTGATGCACACACACACGTACACACACACACACACACACACACGCACACGCACACACTACTCAGCCTTAATAAAGAAGGAAACCCTGTCATTTGCAACAACATGGATGAACCTGGAGGACATTATGTTGAGTAAAATAAGTCAGGCACAGAAAGACAAGTACTACATGATCTCACTTATAAGTGGAATCTAAAAAAGTCAAACTCATGGAAGCAGAGAGTAGAATGATGGTTTCCAATGATTGGGGCTGCTGGGTGGGAAAAATGGGGAGGTGTTTAAAGGGTACAAAATTTCAGTTATGTGGGATGAATAAAATCTGATCTAATGTACAGCATGGTGACTACAATTAATTATATCCGATTGTATACTTTAAATTTGCTAAGAGATCTTGAAAGTTCTCAACACACACAGACACACAAGGGAACTATGTGAGGTGATTAGCATGTTAATTAGCTCGATTGTGGTAATCACTTCACAATGTATACATATATCAAAACATTATGTTGTTAGGGTAAACGTGGACATAAAGATGGCAACAATAGACACTGGAGACTACTAGAGGAGTGAGGGTGGGAAGGGGGTGTGGGCTGAGAAACTACCCACTGGATACTATCCTCGCTATCTGGGTGATGGGATCATTCATACACCAAAACCCAGCCAGATGCATTTTTCCCATGTAACAAATGTGCACGTGTACCCTCTGAATCTAAAATAAAAGTTGAAACAAAAACAAAAATAAAATCGCCATACTGTATGCTGTAAACATATACAATTTTTATTTGTCAATTATACCTCAATAAATCTGGAAAAAATAAAGTCACTTGCAAAATAAAACAGTAAGAATATTAACATTGATACAGTCAAGGCATTGAACATTCCCACCACCACAAGGATTCCTCATGTTGCCCTTTTGCATTTATGCTCACTTTCCTCCTTTGCCATCCCCTTCTTAACCCCTGAAAACCACAAATGTGTTCTATATCGCTATAACTTTGTTATTTTGAGACATTATATATTCTAGATACTAGTCCTTTGTTGTATCCTTGGTTTGGGAATACATTCTCCCACTCTCTGGGTCCTCTTTTCATCCTCTTAGCAGGAATTTTGACAGAGCAATAATTTTTAACTTTAATAGAGTCTAATTTATCATTTTTTCTTGTATAATATGATAACTTCGTGGAACTCACTTAGTTTTAGGGTTTTTTAAAAAAATAGATTATTTGAATATTTTCTATGTATGTAATATTAGGTATATAATATAATGTACAAATAGGGATATTTCATTTCTTTATTTTTGTCTGTATGCCTTTTACTTTTTTTCCTGCTTTATTGCGTTGACTATGGACTATGTTGGATAAGAATGATGACAGTCGACATTTTTTCTTTGTTCCCACGTTTAGAGGGAAGACATTCAGTCATTCACCATTAACTATAACATTAACTGTAGGTATTTATAGATGCTCATCTTCAAGTTGAGGAATTTCTCCTCTGTTCTTATTTTTCTGAGTTTTCATCATAAATGTTTGTTGAATTTTTATCAAATGCATTTTCTGTATCAATTTATATCATCATGTGAAATTTATTTTTAATGCTGTTAATATGGCAGATTACTTGATTTTTGAATATTGAACAAGACTGGCCCTCCTGAAAACAAAACATGCTTGGTTATAATTTTAAAAAGTACACATAACATAAACTTTACCACCTTAACCCTTTTTTTTTTTTTTTTTTTTTTTTAGAGATGGAGTCTTGCTCTGTTGCCCAGGCTGGAGTGCAATGGCGTGATCTCCGCTCACTGCAACCTCCGCCTCCTGGGTTCAAGTGATTCTCCTGCCTCAGCCTCCCGAGTAGCTGAGATTACAGGCACGCGTCACTATGCCTGGCTAATTTTTTGTAGTTTTAGTAGAGACGAGGTTTCACCGTATTGGCCAGGCTGGTCTCGAACTCCTGATCTCGTGATCCACCTGCCTTGGCCTCCCAAAGTGCTGAGATTACAGGCGTGAGCCACCACGCCTGGCCCAACCATTTTTAAGTGTACAATTCTGTAGTGTTAAGCATATTTACATTGTTGTATAACTAATGTCCAGAACATTTTCATCTTGTGAAACTGAAATTCTATACCCATTAAACAAACAATTTCCCGTTTGCCCCTTCCCCGTCTCCTGGCCACCACCATTCCACTTTCTGTTTCTAAGAATTTGACTACCTCATATAAGTGACAACATACAGTATTTGTCTTTTTGTGACTTTCTTATTTCACTTAGCATAATGTCCTCAAGCTCTGTCCATGCTGTAGCACTTATCAGAATTTTCTTCCTTTTTCAGGCTAATTTTTCATTGTCGGTATATACTAAATTTGTTTATCCATCATCTGTCCATTGACAGTTGGTTGCCTCCACCCTTTGACTATTGTGAACAGTGCTGCTATGAACATGAGTGTGCAAATATACTTTCAAGATCCTGGTTTCAATTCTTTTGAGATTACCCAGAAGTAGAATCAGTGGAACATACGGTAATTCTATTTTTAATATTTTGAAGAACTGTGATAACATTTTACTGTTTTACATTTCTATCAACAGTGTTAAAGGATTCTAATTTCTCCACATTCTAGTAGCCATACTGTGTGTGGTGCGCTGTGAAAAACGTTTGTGTCTATATATGAGAGATATTAGCCTGTAGTTTTTTTGTGTGTGGTTTTTGTACTGTTTTGTTATCAGAGTAATACGTCACAAAACATATTGGGAGATGTTTTCTCCTTTTCCATTTATTGGAAGAGATAGTGTAGAATTCTTCTTTTAATGTTTGTTAGAATTTTCTAGTGAAACAATCTGGACCTATGAATTTCTTTTTGGGGATTTTATAAACTAAAAATTCAATTCTTAATAGTTACAGGGTTACAAATTATATATTCATATTTTGGGAGTTGTGGTAGTTTGTGTTTTACTAGGAAGTGGTCCACTTTTCTGTATATAGAATTGTTTGTAGTATTTCCTCATTATTCTTTTGATGTACACAGAGTCTGTAATAATAACCTCCTTTTCATTCCTGATATTATTAATTCATGCCTTCTTTCTTTTTTCTCTGTTAGTCTTGCTAGGAGCTTATTAATTTTATTGATCTCTTCAAGGAATCAGCTCTGTTTCAAAGATTTTATTTATTTTTTTCTGTTTTTAATTTTATTGATTTCTTCTCTTATCTCTATCATTTCCTTCTACTTGCTTTGGGTTTTGTTTTGCTCTTCTTTTCCTTGGTTCTTGATGGCATAGCCTAGATTATTGATATGAGACTTTTCTTCCTTTTTAATATATTCATTTAAGCTACAAATGTTCTTCTCAGCACTGTTTTATCTGTGTTATACAAATTTTGGTATGTTTTATTTTCATTTTTATTCACGTCAAATTATTTTTTATTTCCATTGAGACTGCTTTTTGTTATCATTAATTATTTAGGAATTTCCAAGTTATCTTTCTGTGATTACATTGTATTGGAGAACATATTGCGTGTAACTTTTATTCTTTTTAAATTTGGTCTCCGTTGATACTGGTGGTGGGAGATTTATTACCACTAAGTGAAGATGGGTATTTTCTCCACATTTTCTTTATGATTACATGGTGTGAGGGTCCTCATTACTCTGGGGTGGCGGTGAATATCTTGATTCTCTACTAGGCCTCCTCTGCCATCATCCCATGGGGGATGGGATGGACATCTTATTACTGCCCAGTGAGGGTTGAAATCCAGGCACCCACATGGTTTCCACTGACACCATGGAGAAAGGGGCTACTCATTATTGGCTGGCAGGAATGACAGTCTCAACTGCCTATTCGACATTCTCTGATACCACCACCCTGAGGAGGGTGTTGGGTGCCTCATTACAGCCTCATGAGGTTGGAAGTCTGGGTTCTCCATTTGGCCTTTGCTGACATGAGTTGGGGGTCATGTGGTCACAGTTTGTTTTTTTTTCTGCAGTGTTTTGCCGGAGTAAAGTGGTTTTTTGAAATCTTCTGCCTTGCTAGGATTCCCCTTTCATTGGCTAGAGGGAGCAGGCTTTTGAGAGGGCTTTTACTATCTGTGCACATTAGCATTTCTGTGTTGTCAGTTTCTTCAGCTCCAAGTCAGATATATGAGGTAAGAAGAAAATTCAATCATTAAGGATGACCACTATGTCATTCCTCTATTTCATGATGTCATTCCTCATATCCCAAGCTCCTTAGATGGTCTGCCTCTTGTCTACCCTTGGAATTTTGTGTTTGTTTTATACACAATGCCCAAGGTTTTTAGTTGTTCTTAGCAAATAAATAGAAACATGTTCTTAGCAAATAAATAGGAAAATATGTCTATTCTGTCTTCCCCAATGTGGGAGGAGTCTCCTTTAAGATTTTTAATTCATCTATTCAGCCTTGGCTACTGAGATAATTGTAAATCATTTAAAATCCCTGCAACTTCAATTCCCATTTCAGCCACTGCTATGGCTACCAGTTCTGTGCAGGTGCAGCCTGTCACAGGCTCATCTGGACCCTGGGGTTTCTCCTCTGATGCTCTGTCGTGGGGGCCCATGGGAACCCACTGAATACTCAAGCATAGGCAGTCTGCCAGTTTTGGGAGTTAATGCTCTGTGGAGCAATTCTTAACTAATTGAATACAGGAGGAATAATTACTTTTCATTTACTTCCCCCAGGAAGAAGATTATGGGCAAGTACTGCAAGAACTGGCAACAGTCTCATATTATGTGGACAACTCTACAATGCATGTTTGTTTGGGCTCTCCCTTTTCGCTGCTCCAAACTCCCTGTCCCTGACTTTTGCTTACTGGGTCCAGTCCCCAGTAGAGTAGCTGCTCTTAGGCTTTTGTCTTAGGAGAACTCAGGGGAACACGTGGCCTATGCTCTGGCAATAAAATCTTCTTGCATTGTCAGAAGTCACCTCACTATTTGATGTCTCCGTATACTCCCTCTGCTTTAATCTCACTTACTTCCCCCAAACCTCAATCTGGCCCCTGTTTAAATGTCACCTGTTCATGAAGCTTTCCTTCATCTCCACAACAAAGCTGGTTTCTCCCTTCTCTGTGGCTGCTGTACCTTGTTTATTCCTCCATGGGCGCACTGAGGGCTCTCAATACATTTGGTTTTATATCTGATACTCATTGTAATATCCACTATTTTTTTTTTGTTTCTTTTATATTTTAGGTCCTCAAACATTGCCAAACATTGTCAATCATTCTTGAAGGTTTAACATTAAATGATATTAAGAAACGGACACTGGGCAATAACTTTAGCACCAGCTGGGAGAATTGGTGATGATTATAGTCGGAAAGAATCCCAAATATGTGATGCTGGTAATCTCTGGTCATAAATACATATTGAGTGTAAATCTTTTCTTACAATAATAAAATGCCTAAGGAAATATCTATCCCCAGACACAAACACATTTACGTTCTTCTCTTATTTCTTATCAATCTAGTCTGGGATAGATGATGTGCTGCTCAGAGATGGGGGCTAGATGAAATTACTGGGGGATGGGAGCTGTCCTATTTATTGGGCAACCTCAGACTGTGGCTCTCCGGGGGAATTGGCCACCTAAACTGGTACCCTCCACTGACCAGGCCAACATAAACATGGCTGGGAAAAGGGCAATGTTTTTATGGTCCTTAGTCCCTGGAGACCCTGTTTCACTGGGAAAGATACTCTCACTATAGTGACCACTTGCCTGAGACTCCCAATTCTGGAAGCCTCTCACGGAAGAAGCTGTCTAGGACCACCTCAGTGAATTGATTCAGCTCCCAAAACACCCAGGAAGCCCTTCCAGATTAATGAGAACAGGAAGGCAAACACACTCCCAGGACGCTGATCCTTGTGAACAAGAAATAAGCAGTGGCCATAACCCCTCCCTTTTAATTCACCACCTTTTAAACTTCAATCATATTTTCCTGAGACAACATTGGAAACTGGCCTTTCTGTTGGCATTCCTTCTTCAGTGCATAGATCAGTCATTTTAGGCTCACTTCAAACCTATTTGAATCCCACGTCCCCTGCTCACCATGCTACCTTTCTTTTTACTGTCCTCCAATCTTAGTCTTGGTACTACTGTGTGTGTGTGAGAGAGAGAGAGAGAGAGAAAAAAAAAAAAAGAAAGAAAGAAAGAACAGAGACAGCAAGAGAGAGAGAGAAGAGAGACAGTGAGAGAGAGAGAGAGAGAGAAGAGAGACAGCAAGAGAGAGAGAGAACGAGAACCCAGTTCTTAAGCTTCAAGTTTCTAGGCAGATGTGACCAAGTGAGTGTTTTAAGAAAATCTGTGACTTGCTTGTCACACATACCAATGCACATTCTTATCCCCTCCATTTTCCTGTGAGGCAGATATTATTACCTATCCCGTTTCCATGGTAATAATAATGAGTATTTGTTGAGTTTATACTATGTATTAATACTATCCTGGGCATTGTCTGTGGATCACTGCACATAATTTTCACAAAAGCACTGAGCGTAGACAGCATTATCATCCCTAGCAAACAGATGAAAGCCAGCCCACAAAGAGTGAATTGAGTTGATGAGTAAGATAACTATCTGTTCTTTTTATTGGACTATGTTTCCTTATAGGAAACCTGTGAATATCTCTTGGGGTAGAAAGTCCACAATATGTGGGAACAGGTTTGATTTTTGAAGAGTCATAATTGGCAGGAACAAGAGGTAGGAGATCAAGTGGAGAAATGCCATGTTTGGGCAAAGAGGTGGCCACAGGGAAGGGGGCTGGCTTTCTCGTGTGGGTCAGAGAATAGTTTCCAAGGACACCACAGAGAGTGTCAGCCTTTGCAGGCCTTTTGGAATTGCCTGTGACTTCTTAGTGGTGTCCAGGGAATGTAATATTTAGAATGGGGGCAGGATTTAGAGATTTCCTAATTCAATCACCATGTTTTATAGTTAATCCCAAGAGATTATATGAATTAAGTAAGGTCATCCTCCTAGCGGCAGAACATGAGATGTAGCTCAGAGCTCCAAATTCCATTCCAGGGCTCTGTCCTTCCCTCAATATAGGACCCAGGGCAGGCTATTCTTGTGTTTTACCCCTGCCCCCAGGTTCTCTCTGGACCTGCTCCTTGGGAACGTAGTATGGAGCACAAGGGAAGGCATCTCTTTAAAAGCAACCCAACATAGGGCCTGTGATTAACACTACTGTATTGTACACTTAAAAATGTGTTAAGAGTTTAGCTCTTACGTTAAGTGCTCTTACCACAGAACGAAAAACAATAGCAACAACAACAACAATAAAGGAGGTGAGAGGAAACTTTTGGAGGTGATGGATAAGTTTACCACATTAGTTACGGTGATTGTTTTAAGGGTATATCACTTATGTTCAAATATATCAAGTTGTATACATTAAAAATCTATAACTTTTTGTATGTCAATCAGACTTCAATGAAGTGGCTTAAAAAAAAAAAAAGAAAAAGAAAATCTCACATCACTCTCGTGGGTAGAACCTGTGGGAACTGGGACAGATTGGCTTACACTTCTAATGCTCTTTTTCCTTGCAGAAGAGATGCAGAAACATTGAAAGCAAATGATCCTGTGCCTGTGACTGAACCCTCCTTGATCTCCGAAGGGCAAGTGTTACACTGTTGCCCGTGTTTCATCTGGAAAAAACAGAAGTACACAGAAGAATGTGATTTGTCCAAAGTCACCTCCTGTCAGGGAAGTCTTTTCCCAGTATCAGTCATCACTTTGCTGGGCCGGTCCATGCCAGTCCATGCTGGTCCATGCCTGCCTGGTCAGGCTACAATCTTCATTCACAAAGAGTACACTGGGAAGTCAGAGAGACCTGGGTTCAAGTCTGAAGTATTGAGTGACTCAGAAAATTATATAACTCCCAGCTGTGCCTCAGTTTCCTAGTCTGAACAGTGGCCATCAACACAGATGTTTGTTTTTTTTTTTAATTTAATTTTTTTATATATGTTTTTTTGAGACGGAGTCTCGCTCTGTCGCCAGGCTGGAGTGCAGCGGAACGATCTCTGCTCACTGCAACCTCTGCCTCCTGGGTTCAAGTGATTCTCCTGCCTCAGCCTCCTGAGTAGCTGGGACTACAGGCACACGTCACCACACCTGGCTAATTTTTGTATTTTTAGTAGAGACGGGGTTTCACCGTGTTAGCCAGGATGGTCTCAATCTCTTGACCTCATGATCTGCCCGCCTGGGCCTCCCAAAGTGCTGGGATTATAGGTGTGAGCCACTGCTCCCGGCCCCAGATGCTTGTTTTGAGGATTATGTAAGTAAGGTATTATTTTATTGGAGGATGAACAGTAAGCCCTCAGTATGCGGTAATATTAAATGCAATAGAAATACATGAATCCAAGATTTCTCAAACCTTTACCACCCTCCACTCCCCACAACCAGGTGGAACAGATGCTCTGTGTCTAATGTCATACCGCCTTGGCCCACTTCTGACTTTCACGGGGACTGTGAGAGACATTTTAATTCATTCTGAGTATTTCTCCCACTTTAAATTGGTGCCATTTCTCCACGTTTTTCTGCTTTTGTGCTTTCTTCAAAGCCATAGAAGTAGGCAAAGCCCAGCGGGCAACCTTGGGTCAAATGAGGAAGACAGTCGACTGCAAATGCCCTAGTCCAGCCTTCGGATAGAAATTCTCCAAGTCTTTCTGAACAGAGTCCTAGCAGAGTTGAGTGCTCATTGTCCACAGCAGCAACCTTGGTAATAACTCTGTGTTGAATTTTCTTCTGCCTTGTCTCACTGTCTCTGTTCCCTCACTCCTATTTTCTAGAAACATGTCTTAATTACACTACCTTCACCCAAGTCCCTGTCTCAGGCACTGCTTTTAGGACCCCCAAATAAATATTTCAGGCATTTCTTATATAACTCTCTGCCTCGTGCTTAAGAATTCTCATGTTTGGCCGGGCGCGGTGGCTCACGCCTGTAATCCCAGCACTTTGGGAGGCCGAGGCAGGCGGATCACGAGGTCAGGAGATTGAGACCATCCTGGCTAACACGGTGAAACCCCTTCTCTACTAAAAAATACAAAAAATTAGCCAGGCGTGGCGGCGGGCGCCTGTAGTCCCAGTTACTCGGGAGGCTGAGGCAGGAGAATGGCGTGAACCTGGGAGGCAGTGAGCCAAGATCGCGCCACTGCACTCCAGCCTGGGAGACAGCGAGACTCCGTCTCAAAAAAAAACAAAAAAACAAAAAAACCAGAATTCTTATGTTTATAAATTTTGCTAAAACCCAGTAGCTAAAGAACACTAGGGCCATACCTGTAGTCAAACAATGTTAGATTATTAACTTGCTGCAGTTAAGAAGAACAATTCAATGGAAGAAAGTATTTCAAAAGGAGAGAGTTAGGGAAGCCTATTTATGGAGTGTGGGGGATCTAGGGTTAGTCATAGGATGGTTTTCACATGGATTGTTCAGGGATTTTGTCTTTAGAACATGTGAGTTCATGCAGAGTTATGGTTAGATCAGTTTATCTTTGATCTGCAATCACATGGTCTGAACAAACTGTTACTAAAAGAATTTAAGCTTGGGGCTGGGCACGGTGGCTCACACCTGCAATCCTAGCACTTTGGGAGGCTGAGGCAGGTGGATCACCTGAGGTCAGGTGTTCCAGACCAGCCTGGCCAACGTGGTAAAACCCGGTATTTACTAGAAATACAAAAAATTAGCCAAGCGTGCTGGCAGGCACCTGTAATCCCAGCTACTCGGGAAGCTGAGGCAGGAGAATCGCTTGAACCCGGGAGGTGGAGGTTGTAGTGAGCTGAGATCGTGCCATTGCACTCCAGCCTGGGCAACAAGAGTGTATTGAGACAACTGTGTCTCAATAAATAAATAAATAAATAAAAGAATTTGGACTTGTATAGTTTGTGATGCCGACCTTAGATTGGGCTGGCCCAGTTAATTTAATTTGTGTTTTGCATGTTGTCTTTTTTATGGGGTTTCTTTCAATTTTCAGTTCTCCCTTCACAGGTTAGCTGCTCACAGGGACAATTTTTCCCCCTTTTATAACTTTTAGGTTTGTATTTGTCAGAGTTCTCCAGAGAAGCAGAATCAAAAGGAGATATGTAGATAGATAGACACATAGATAGATAGATAATATGTAGAGATAGAGAAATAGAGATATTTATGTTGAGGAATCAGCTCACGCAATGGAGACTAGTGAATCCAGTATCTGCAGGGTAAGTCAGTAGACTGCAGAGCCAACGTGGAACCAACATGGCAATTAAGTCCTCAGGCCATGTCTGTTGGGATAATTCTTGTTGCCCAGGGGCGGTCATTCTGGCCTATTAAGGCCTTCAACTAATTGGATGAGGCCCACCCCCATTATGGAGGACAATCTCCTTTACTCGAAGTCCTCTGATTAAAACATTAATCTCATCTGGAAAAAAACACCCTTACAGGAAAATCCAGAAAACATGTGTGACTAAGTATCTGGGTACTGTGGTCCAGCCAGTGGACACATAATATTAACCATCACAAGGTCATATGATTTTTTTCTCAGCCACATGATCACAACTTTATTATTCCAATCAGTAAGGTATTGCTAAATTATTACTTGACAGTCATAGAAGGATAATTGAAAGTATAATTATACTTACATAATTATAATTGAATTGTATAATTCAATTACACAAAGTATAATTGAAGGATCTTTTTTCTATTTCTGTACTGCTGTCTGAGAAATGAAACCTACAATAAGGTTATAGGTAGAAAAATGGAGAAGAGAAAGTTGACTTACCTAAGTGTGCACAGTGCCAGGAAGCCTGGTCTCCCGCCTTCTGTTTGCTCAGCCTTAGGCTAGGTGACCAGATGTACATACAGCTGGTATCCTTCAGGATGGGATTTGAAGGCTATAAAAATTGCCACTATAAATAATGGCCCTGTTACAACCTTGGTAGTCCTACTATTAAAACTTTATTACTTTGAACTAAATATCATCCTCTTCAAGCTACTCTTGAACTCCTGGGCTGAAACGATCCTCCTACCTCAGCTTCCCACAGTGCTGGGATTACAGGCGTGAGCCACAGCACCTGGCAACACATTTTGAAAAAAGAAAAAAAAAAAACAATAATATATTTTAAACCTAACATCTAAAATATAATCATTTCAACATATTCTTAAGATAAAATTGATAATGAGAGTTTTACATTATTTTTGCAATTTTTATTGTGATAAACATACATAAAATAAAATTTAACATTTTAAACATTAAGTGTACAATTCAGTAACATTAAGCAGATTCATATTGTTGTACAACCATAACCACTATCTATTTCCAGAACTTTTTTTATCATCCCAAACTGAACCTCTGCACCCATAAACAATAACTCTCCATCCTCCCCTCCCCCAGCCCCTGGTAACCTGTATTCTACTTTCTTTCTTTATGAATTTGCCTATTCTAGATACCTTATATGAGTGGAATCATATATTATTTGTCCTTTTATCATCTCGCTTATTTTATTTAGCATAATGTTTTCAAGTTTCATCCATGTTGTAGCAGGTACCAGATTTTTAAGAATGAATAATATTCCACTGTATATATAAACCACATTCTGTTTATCCATTCATCTGTTGATGGACATTTGGGTTATTTCCACCTTTTGGTTATTGTGGATAATGCTGCTATGAACATTGGCACAGAAGTCTTTGGCCTACTTTTTTTTTTTTTTTTTTTTTTGAGAAGGAGTGTCACTCTGTCGCCCAGGCTGGAGTGCAGTGGTGGTGATCTGGACTCACTGCAAGCTCCGCCTCCCTGGTTCAAGTGATTCTTCTGCCTCAGCCTCCAGAGTAGCTGGGATTACAGGTACCCACCATCATACCTGGCTAATTTTTGTATTTTTAGTGGAGATGGGATTTTACCATATTGGCCAGACTGGTCTTAAACTACTGGCCTCAGGTGATACACCTTCCTCAGTCTCCCAAAGTGCTGGGAATACAAGCGTGAGCCACCGTGCCCAGCCTGGGCTACTTTTAAAAGTTAAAAATCTTAGGACAGAGGAAAGGGGAGAGGAGATAGTAAGAATATATAAACAACCTATCATAGTGGGAGACAGTAAGGGATTAGCTATTCACAGAAGAGAGAGAAAGAAATCCACTATTCATTAAATTGTCAATATGGCTATGTTGTTAGGCATATGGAAGTAGGCTGGAGGATCCAAATTGCGGTAAAGCAACGGACAGGAAGGTAGAAGAGGACTGAGATTGTGGGGAGAGACATAACAGAGTTTAACCTCATAAAATGAGGCACCTGACCTCATTATTTGAGGGTGGGGCCCAACACCTGAATCTCCACTTTACAGAGCATGGGTACACTTTCATTTCTTTAGAGAAATCACCCATTTCTTCCATTGTGTTTTCTCCCCTTAGCCCTGGCCTATGCACATTGATTAACTGCATGACTTTGGAAGCCACTTTACTGCCTCTGAACAATGAAGCACAGTTGAATGCTCACAGATCTATATGCTAGCAGAATCTGTCATCAGTACACATCAAGTATCTGTGGTTCCCTCCTCCTAAGAGAGAGCCTACAGTATAGAGTCTCCCTCATGGTTTATCTACCCAAGTCCTGCACCCAAGACTTGTTTAGTGAAGCTACAGAGGGAACATATAGGCCCAATGATTGTATTCAGATCTCAGCTGCTCACTGGATCTGCTCAAAAGTACAGTGGGAATACCCTACCTTGAAATAAGATGCATTCAGCATCCTTACTAACGTGTGAACCATTCCAGTCAGGATTCCTGCACTGGTGAGAAAGAAGACTAGGAAATCACTCACATCTCCAATTCTGATTTATAGGATTCTATAAATGTAAAATCAATAGGCATAACACTCAGCAAAATTTAAAATAAAATTTTATTTTATCTTATACTCAAGTTCAGACAATAGCATGTGGTGTACATTCAAAATTTTTGACAGGTACAGAGCACATTAAAAAATGAAGACATGATCAAGGAGATGTAAGAGACAAATAGACAACAACATTCTCCCTGAATCTGGAAAAAAGCAAGCAATAAGATCACGAAAGGCAGCTGTAAAACAGGATTATTCTGCATGTGTTGCCCACAACTAGGGCAAGGTTATCTCTCATCACAAGTACAAAGCCATTGATGTTAGTGTGTAACAGAGAGAAAACAGAGGATTTGTACAGCTGAGGAAATAAATGGCAGATGTTACACAGGAAGCAATATAACATGGTCATTAAGTAACTGTATTCAACCATCAAATTTAATTTTAAATCTTGGCACAGTGCCCACAAGCCGTGTGACTTTAGTCCCCTTGATAATATAAACTTCATTTCTCTCACTTATAATAAAGAGACACAAATGGTACCTACTCCATAAAGTTACGAAGAACACATAAAACCTGTGAAGCACTTATAATAGTGCCAGAACATTGTGAGCACACATGAGATGTTCATTGGCATTATTATTAAGGGCTTATATAAATTCCCAGGTAATGCATAATAACAGTAGAGACTGTGACAAGCCCTGGCTTCCATAAATTGTCAGCTTCATTTTCCCTGTTTCATTTGATATGTTATTCCATTTTATGCTTTGAGACAGGGTCTTGCTCTGTTGCCCAGGCTGGAGTGTAGTGGTACGATCGTGGATCACTGTAACCTCAAACTCCTGGACTCAAGCGATTCTCCCACCTCAGCTTTCCAGGCAGTGGGGGCTATAGGTGCACACCACCATGCGAAGCTATCATATTCCCTATTTAAAAAGTTGTACACAGGCCGGGCACAGTGGTTCACACCTGTAATCCCAACACTTTGGGAGGCTGAGGCGGGTGGATCACAAGGTCAGGAGATCGAGACCATCCTGGCCAACATGGTGAAACTCTGTCTCTACTAAAAAATACAGAAAATTAGCCAGTCATGGTGGCACGTTCCTCTAGTCCCAGCTACTCGGGAGGCTGAGGCAGAAGAATTACTTCAACATGGGATGTGGAGGTTGCAGTGAGCCGAGATCGCGCCACTGCACTCCAGCCTGGTGACAGAGCGAGACCCCATCTCAAAAAAAAAAAAAGTTGTATGTGACAGCTAACCATAATAAAAAAAAAAGAAAGAAAAAAGAGAGAGAAAGTAGGGACAACACTAAATCATTAGTAATTTGAGCACATTTCCTCCAAGGCATATGCTATTTTTCAACTTGGTTTCAATCATGTATCTTTATTGTTTTTCTTAATGTTATAAGCATGTTTGGTTTTATTGTAGTCTTTAAATCATGTAATACTTCATTAGTATGTATTATTCCACATAATAGTCCTTTAGGTAGATGTACCATACTTTAGTTTACTATTCCAGCCAGAGAAAAGTACTGATGTGCTTATGGGCAACTGGAAATAAGCTAGTGTTAGAAATAATTATGTTTATCAAGCCAATAAAGATAAGGAGAAGTGTAGTGTTAAGGGTCACTTGCCTCCCACAGCCTGCAAGTCCTTGTCACAGCTGATCTTGAACATAGCCAGCACCCGTGTTCTGATCTGTTTGGTTTTGGCACCATAGATGATGGGATTGATGACAGGAGGCAGCAGCAGGTAGATGTCACCCATGACAACACGCACAATGGGATGAAGGCTGTTTCCAAAGCGGTGTACCACTGAGAGGCCAATAAGTGGCACATAGAAGGCGAGTACCACACCAATGTGTGACACACAGGTTCCAAAGGCCTTGGCCCGCTCTGACTTGGAAGGCAGTTGCAGAACCGTTCGTATTATCAGAAAATAGGACAAGGAGATGAACATTACGTCCACGCCCATGACCAGCAGAATGGCAGTAAGACCATATACCACATTGGGCAAAGTGTCTGCATAGGCCAACTTCATTACATCCTGGTGGACACAATAGGAGTGCGAGAGGACATTGGAGTGGCAGAAGGCCAGCCGCTTGATCAGCAGAGGCAGTGGGAAAAAAAAGAGGGATCCGCGGACCACAGCCACGATGCCAATCTGGGCTGTTACTGTATTGTTGAGCACTGCAGCATGGCGCAGTGGGTGGCAGATGGCCACATAACGGTCAAAGGCCATGGCCAGCAGGATGGTGGATTCAATGGCTGAGAGGGCATGAATAAAGAACATCTGGGTAAGACAGGCCTCAAAGCTAATCTCTCGGGAATCAAACCAGAAAAGGGCAAGGATCTTAGGCATGGTGGATGTGGATAAGGCCAGGTCAATGGCTGCAAGCATGCAGAGAAAGAGGTACATCGGAGCGTGCAGGCTGCGTTCCGTCCTTACGATGAAGACCACGATGCAGTTTCCAAACATTGCCACTACATACATGGAAAGGAGGGGGAAGCCAACCCAGAAATGGGCTTTCTCTAATCCTGGGATACCAATAAGCACAAAGGTGGCATGTGTGAAGTTGCAGGAACTCATAGCTGGAACTGAGGAGGGGTGACTGGAGAGGGTGAGGTCACACTGGCAGTCTGCAGGGACATAGAGCACAATCAGAGAATGCCCTGGAAACTTGAAACTGACATCCCACCCCTTTTGTCTTCTCCCACCCCCACTTAGGGTCTTTCATAAGCTCTGAGGCCCTCTTCCAAAGGCGGGACTGTGACAGATCAAATTCATTTATGCATCACTACTCTCAAGGTTTATTTAAATTTTTAAAAGGGAATCTTGGGAGAGCAATGCTTTTTCCAAAATGTAATTCCCTCAGATTCTTCCTACTGGTCCATACCTTCGTTGCCTGGATATTTGTTGGCCCTTTTTTTTCTGATAGGTGTTAAGAGATACACTTTTGGGAGCTCCTTCCAGATAAGGCTGCCTTTCTCATTTTACTTTCCCTGCTTCCCTCCCCCCACTTTCTTTCTTTCTATTATTCATTCATTCCAGAAGCATTACTAGCATAATATATGCATTTAATTCATGAGAAAGGGAGAGGCATGATCACAGAGGAATCTTCCTGTTTAGACTTGAAACATGAGTAGAAATTAGACAGAGTGGAATAATGGGTGTTCCAAGGCAGTGAGGATAGGAGATAACTTTGCAAATTTTCAGGATTCCCAGTCCTCAATTCTAAAGTCAGCCAGAGGAATAAGAAGCACAGCAATGACACTTTTTTTTAAAGCTTAAAAGAATATAAATAAACAAAAACTAAGAAAAAAATGCCAAAAGTCAATCTCTTTCGGATTAAAGGAAACTCATCTGTGGTCATAAAATCAAGGTAGTGGCTCCCTCCGATGACTTCTTCAGAGATGAAGGTGCTGGCAGGACACTGGTGAGTACCTCCGCACCTGAAAGCTTCTTCCAAGGCCATTTTAATTGCATCCAAGGATAGTTTGAGTTGAGTCCTTACTTTGGAGAAGTATTATTAATTTTACAATGATATTTTTAGAGCTTTGTCTTTCCTGAAACTTGTGCCAACAAGTCATTCATCTCAGGGGAGACATTTCTTTTTTAGAAGCCCAGTGTTGCTTTGCCCCAACTCCCTACCCTCACCCAAACACCTGGGCTCTGACTTCATGAAACTTCTTCTCTGCTAGGTTGCCTAGGTGCCCTGGTCTTTAGAGCTAATTTTCTCTAAAAAGCCAAAGCCTTGGCTGCAAGGCCTAACTTTTGGAAACAAATGATGCAGTGTCTTCATTGATCATCTGTTTCATTGAAACAGGTTAGCTTGCTTATATTGCACTCCCCCAACCCCAGAATTCTTCACTCATCATCTGAGTTCTTACTGCAGCTGGGAGATGCCCTTCAGTTTGGCCTTAATGTAGAGGGGTTAGATACCAGTGATCTTAAAGTACAATATGATAAAATTAGTACAAAGAGATTTGAACTGGATTCTCCCCATCTTGGATAAGCAAAGAAGGACAGATTTGGGGTTTGAAGGTTACAAAACCCATACTTCTGCCTGTATTTTCTCTTCTCCACCTTCAGAACTTGTGCAGACAAAACAGCTAAGCTCCTTGACAAATATTAAATCCCATATTTGGCTCCCAGTTGCTATCAGAACATGAAAAGCCCTTTTCAGAAGCAGATGATTGCATCCTTTAGTGAGATACAAGATAGTTTGCATCTTGCATCCATCCATCCATTTCTGTATCCGTCATAGCTTGGGGAAGGGGATATAGAACTTTAAACAAATCATACTGAAATATATGGGACAGAACTAAGGAACCTTCCCTGAAGAGAGGTCAGATCACTAGACCACTGTGTTCCAGAGAAATGGGACCCAGGGTGAAGAAAAGAGCAGGCATGGAGGGAGAGCAAGGGGAACACAGGGACGTATATTTACTTTCTTAATGCCTTTTGCCCATGCTACCACATGCAGTGCTGACAGATAACAAGAGTCTTTATTGGACCCAGAGCTGGGTACTTTCTTAAGCCCTCTCTCTGCAGAGCATATTTTCTGCCTTGCTGGTACCTGCACATGCTTACTCGAGTATAGGACTTTAGGCTATCATCTCATTTCCCAAAATACCTGTCCTGAAAGACCTCACGTCACCTTCCCATGTTGCCTGGCATCCTGCCTAAAGTAGACTCCCTGCTAAACCCAATTTCAGTTTCTCTTTGGGTCCGAATGTGACTGTTGCATTCATTCTCACTTGCCTTTCCTGATTGTTAGCTAAGACTCTGGGACATTTCTTCCCAGCCCATAAAGCTGTGGATGGGACACAAGGGCTTCTCCCTGCCCTGACTTGAAACAGTATGTGGGGTCTTCAAGGTCCCTTAGGATGGCAGGAGCTAAGCCTGCCTGACCCCAGGTAAGGGTGCACTCACCTGAGAATGGTACAGTCCTACTTAGAAAGAGCAGCTGGAGCTGGTTTTGCTTTCTGGTTCAGGCCTTTTTAATAATGCCACTCAGAAAGCCCATGGGAACAGGCAGTGAGAGTATGAACTGAGGCCCCAGGGACTTGGCAGACAGAGGAAAAACATCTCCATGTCCACTTGTGTGCCATTCCCATGGGCTTCCCACTGTTCCTGTCCAGGGAGAGCAACCTCAAAGCACCCACTGCCTCTTCCATCACTTCCACACTCACATATACAGGGCTCTCGACAATCTGCTCCCACTTCTCCAAGCTAAACCAAGCACACACAGTCAGCCACAGGATTAGTGTGTTTCTTCATGTGCCACTCTGCTAGACGCAGCAGACATCATATGTGACTAGGCATGGTCCTTGGGCTTTAGGAGTTTGCATCCTCTCTAAAAATACAAAAGTATAGTTCCATAATTCAAAATAGGGGCATGCAATTCTCCATATCTTTCCCTAACCTTTCTTCTGGTTAACAAAACAGCCCTTAATGTATCAAAGCTGCTCTTCATTGCTCCTAGATTACAGATAAAGCCCAGATGATATGACAGCTTTTTGTCCTAGGTCATATAGTTAATTAGTGATAATATTGGTTGGAGAACCAGGTATTCCGACTGTTTATTCACATTAAACAAATGTTTGTCAAAGGCTTACAATGTTATAAGCAAAATAGATAAAAAAAACTCACCCCAACTACCTTCTCCAGGATATTGAGGTATCCTCAGTACCTCATGATGCTTGATGGCTGTCTTCCAGTGACGTGTCCCCTACGTCATACCCAGCAGGGTTACCTTCATACTTTATTAATATTTAACACTAACCTGTTCTATCTGCCATCCTTTCTAAGTATGCCTCACACATGAGTCTTGCTTTGTCATTGTCACTGTAATCTTTGAACACAGAAACAGAAGTACTTCCATCAGCCATTAAGTATTTATTGGTCATCTATATCTGGCAATGGAGTTAATTAATTCATTCATTGTGTAATAAGCACATTCTCAAGGCTAGTTTTGTGCAGGCACTGTGCTGAGTTTAGGGTGCCAGAGGTGAATAAGACAAAGTCCTTGCCTTCAGGGTGGTCATACACACCTACCCAAACAAACCTGAAATGGTATGAAAGAGCAGTGAATGCCACAGATTTTTATAGGAACTTGAGAAGGGTATTTATTTAGTCATTGGGTGGGTCCAAAAAGAGGGTATTTCAGCAGGCAGAAAATCATGAAAGAAACAGAATTTTCTATAGAAGAATTACGAAGAGTTGTAGCTTGGCTGAAGCATAGAGTCAACCAAAAAGGAAAGAGAAACTGGAGAGGTCAATGGATGTGAACTGATGATATGCTGTGAACTCAAGGACTTCATCCTGTAGGAATTGGGAGGTGAATAAATGGTTTTAAGCAGGGACATCACAACTAGACATGTGTTTCAGATTGCTATTCCAGAAGCTGTTGGGAGGGTGAATTTGAGGAGGACGAAGTGGAAGTGCTTATGAATTTAGTCATGTGAGACAGGAACTTAAGATACATAGCATTTCCTCATCCTTCACATCCAATTATTCAACCGATCTTGTCTATTTTTCCTTCTAAAAATCTTTTGCATGTTTCCTCTTATTTCCATCTTCACCACCACTACCATGTTCACGTAGCTACAACAGTGGCCATGTGACTACTAGTGCTCTGGCTTTTAGGAAAGTCCCCAACTCATTGTGAGCTTATCCATCTTGGTCAGAGCATGACATTTGTTCTGCAACCCACCCAGTCTCGGTGTCTACATTACCAATTTCCTATAGATGGAAGCTTATAAGCTGCCAGGACTGTTGGACAGGAGGACTGTCCACAGGTTAGCATTTGTGAGGTGAGGTGGGGGACGAGAATCTGCAGAAGTTCTGTGAACATCTCAGTTGTCCTTGAGGTTGACATTCCCTTTTCTCCTTTCCATTTTTAGGACTTTGAGTATCTCCATCCTTTTCCTTCAGCTCTATTTGCTATCCTTTGTAGTAGTAGTGTACAGAAACAAATAAACAAAAAATCTAGTCTGTAGGCCTGTATCATCTGAGCTTTTCCATCTTTCCACTTTGGACCTGCCTGTAGCTTCTCTGGATTTTTGTTTTTGCTTCATTGTGAGTTATAGATATGAAAAGATGATCTGCAGGGGTACGTATTAGGGAATAGAAGGGGAAAGAAATATGTAGAAATAAACTGGCAGTTTATTCAAAATATAAAACACCTCTTTAAAGTGGCCTCCTAATTTTTACTCTTACCTACATTCATTCACTAGACAAAGCAAGTTTTATGTTGGGAAGTGGAAATAAAGCTTCACAAGATTAGGATCAGGGTATACTAGGTCATATGAAAAGGAGCAAACGTTTTATACTAAATGGCAGTACTTGGCACAGTATTCTCCAAAATGTGAAATTTCATGAAAGTATATTTGTAGATATGAAGAACTTTCTGGTATAAAAGAACTTTGTTATCTTCTTGTGTGCCATCTGAATCCTTACACATCAAAGATAGTATTTCTTCATTAATTCAATGAAGAGTAAAAGTTACAATGGACCAGACACTATAGATAGAAATGTGGAAACAGCAGTGAACAGACCCAGTGCCTGGCCCCGAGAAGTGAGCTCAGAGTTTGTTGTGGGGAGAATGGTGACAAGAGAGTTTGGAAAGAGTTGTCTTGAGAGAGAAGAACAAGGTGCTGTAGGAGCACCTGGAAAGGGCACCAGGCAGACCAGAGAGGTCAGGAAAAGTCCCTGAAGGAGAGCCCCTTCTATTCTAAGTCAGGAGAAGGAAGGGAGTGAGAATATTCTAGGTGGAGGTAGGCTTAAAAGGGTCAGGGGATTCTTTGCTGGGACTTAGGACATGCAGGTTGTTTGTTGTCTCTGGGGCATTGTACAGAGGGGAAGCAATGAAGCTTAAGAGGTAAACAGAGCCAGATCATTAAGACATTTTACTATTTTTACTATGTGGCAGGCAGGCCCTGTTTTAGGGCTGGGAGATAGCATAAATGGAACAAATTCTTTATTCTCAAAAACATCATGTTGTAGTAATGAAACTAGAAAATAAATAACATATATGTGATATACTGGGGTATAAAAATGCTAAAAATTAAAAATAAGGCAGATAAAGATGAGAGTGAATTCAGGAGGAATTGAGGGAGAGGTGTTGTTGTTGTTATTATTATAACATCAAGGGCCCTGTAATGGGGTGCACTTGAGCAGAGATCTGTCTAAAGTGAGGTGTAAGTCACGTGGGTCTCTGGAGGACGAACATTCCAGGTTGTGAGAATAGCATGTGTGAACTCTGATGTTGAAGCATGCTTGATGAGTTTAAGAAAATATTTGGAAGCTAGTGTGGGTGACATAGAGTGAATCACTGGCAGAGTAGTAGAAGATGATATTGGGCTGATGGAGGAAATATAGATCATATAGATATTTATATGCTTTTATAGTGACTGTGAATTTTTCCTGGGTAAGACAGGATGCCCTTGGGGTATATTGAACTTGATCTGCCTTGTGCATTAAACTAATCAGTCTAACTTCACTGTGGGGGGAAATAGACTGTAAAGCAAACGTGGATGAAGGAAGGACCACCAGAAAGCTGTTATAATAATTCAGGTCCAAGATGATGGCTTGCATCACAGTGGTAGCAGTAGAGATGGTATAAATTGACTTGATTTTAGACATCAATATCAGAGAGATCTAGAAGAAAGGGTCACCAGGATTTACTAAAAGGTTAGATGTAGCATCGGGGTGATAGAAAGGCATCAGGGATAACTCCAAGTGCTTTGTCTCAACACATTGGAAGGTAGAGTTACTGAGTTAGAGAAGACTGTGGGTGAGCATGCTTTTTCCTTGATGGGGATATTAGTATATATTAGACGTTGATTCTAAGATGATTATGAAACATTCAAGTAGTGATATTGATACACAGGCAGTGGGATAAGTCTGAACTACAAATATTAATTTGGATTTTGTCAGCATAGAGATGGTACTTAAAGACATGATACTGGATGGGATGACCAAGGAAGGGATTATGACAAAGCAAAAAGGTCTGAGAACAAAGTCCCAGGACATTGCAACATATAAAGATGAAGAGTAACAATAATTGAAACTGAAATGTTGTTGTCAAACAGGCTGAGGATTTGACATAATTCTTACAGTACTATAAATACTATAGTCACTTAATAAATTTCCTACAGGGAATGATGAGGAAACCAGAAAAGAAACAGCCTATATGTAATATGTTGGGGAATAAAAATGCTAAAAATTAAAAATAAGGCAGGTAAGGATGAGAGTGAATACAGGAAGAAACTGAGGGAGAGGTATTGCTATTATAATTATTATAACATCAAGGGCCCTGTAATAAGGTGCAGTTGGCAGAGATCTCCATAAAGCGAGGGGGCAAGCCTGTAGATACGAATGATTACTTCTACTTCCTTTCTGGACCTGATACCAACTATACAGCCCATCTTAAATTAGTGATATTAGTGTGGCATTGAAATATATGCTTTAAAAATTTTGAGAATTAATGGACACACCCAGGGTGGAATGAATTATCTTTCTGAATTGAGCCATTACATGACCATTATGACACAAATTTAAAAATTCATAAGTAAATGACCATAATTCATTTGTAGTCACTTTCCATTTCTGCTGGGGCAGAATGTTGATGGAGGGTTGACAGAAATGCTGAAATATGCTTGAGTCAGGAAAGATCATCAGGTAGAAATATATCTGTAAGGTATGAAGATTTGATTTGGGCTTTTTCTCCCTAATTTGACTGAAAATTTCTAGAGGATAGAGTTGTGGTTTTTTTTAATTAATTTTTTTACTTCTTTATGTTTCCTAGTAAAAATTGCCTGAACTTCTCTCTATATTTATATTTATAAATATAAATATAATTTACACATATAAGTACATAATTTATAAATATAAGTTTATATATATAAGTTCATATAATTTTTACAAATATAAATTATATATAAATTATATACCTATATATTATATTATAGGTAGCAATATAACATTAAAATTAAGAGTGTGGGGGACTCTGGAGTCAGTCTGCATGGATGTGCTCTGCCATCAGCAACACCAGTTACTAGCTGTTTAAGCAAGCTACTTAACATTTCATGCCTCAATTTTCTTATTGATAATTAAAGTGATTATCTTATAACATTGTTTTAGATATAAAATATGTTAATACATACAAAAAACACTTAGAACCATGACTTGTCAGAGCAAATAATAAATGGCAATCGAAATTACTAGAACAGTTGGAAAATACTACCTATTTCTCACAAAGGAGTGACTTTTCTGTAATGTGTCATTCTAAAGGCTATGAAGTAGATGAGATAATAACAGAAAGGGTGTTGGCAGGGACAGAAGGCAACAACAGTTTGGACCCAACAGTGGTGTGAGAAGGAGAAATTTTATATATAAGGCTAATTTTAGGCTGTTCATCTCTTCCATCCCATGTCTTCACCTCCTCATCTGGAAAATAAAGTAGTCAAACTAGCTGATGTTCTAGATACATTCCAGCTTTAACTTTAAATGATTATGTGCTTAGCTTCAATGGGCACCAGTTCTTTGGTTGTTTTTTGTTTTTAATTGGAAACATGACCTGAAGTATACCATCTTGAGGGGTCCATCTAGTGCTAGAATTCTACAATTTTATGTTTCTTTGGAATGGAGAATTTTTATCACAGCTCTACGTATCTGTTTGGTTTTCACACTGTAGATGACAGGGTTCATCAAAGGGGAGATCAGCAGGTAGGTGTTAGCAATCATAGTATGTACATAGGCTGGGGCTTGTTTCCCAAATCTGTGAACAATGGACAGACTGATCAATGGAATGTAATATATAGCAAAAGCCACAATGTGGGAGACACATGTACTGAAGGTTTCCTTCCTCTCTTCTGGGGAAGCAACGCTAAGGACAGTCCTAATGATCAAAACATAAGAAAGGAGGATGAGAAGTAAGTCTACACCAACAGTAGAGAACATGGCAGTCAGCCCAACTGCACTGTTGATTCTGGTGTCTGTGCATGAGAGCTTCATCACATCAGGGTGGTAGCAGTAGGAGTGGTGGAGTACTTGGCTGTGGCAGTAGGAAAGTCTTATAAGAAGTGCTACCATTGGTGTCAGCATTAGGAGCCCCCTGATGACACTTGCCACTCCAATTTGAGCTATTCTGGAGTCAGTTAAAATCATGGCATACCTAAGGGGATTAGAGACGGCCACAAAACGATCAAAAGCCATGGCCAACAGCACTGAGGATTCCATGACAGTGAAGAATTTAATAAAGAACATGTGGGACAAGCAGGCATTAAAGCTGATTTCCCTCACATTGAACCAGAATATACTCAGCATGGTGACCAGAGTGGATATGGACAGGCCGAGGTCAGTGGCGGACAGCATGGAGAGGAAATAGTACATTGGTTCGTGGAGGCTGGGCTGAGTGATGGTAGCGAAGAGGATCAGGCTGTTTCCCAAGAGAGCAGTTACAGAGAGGAAGCAGAAGGGAATGGAGATCCAGGTGTGGAAGGCTTCCAGCCCAGGAACACCAGTGAGCAGGAAAATGATGGAAGTGGAGGTGATATTCTGCAAAGTTGACGTGATGAATTAAAAGTACAGAACGAGATGAGAGCTTAAACAAAAAAAAGCTACATTCATTTGTGTATTGATCGAATTAAAATAATTTTATTGTACAGAAAACTGATGAGTATTTATATAATATGAAACTATGAATGGCTCATTTAAATTGATTAAAAAATGTCAGATTTCAACTGCTGTAGTGGGCACTTTGGTTTGTTTTTGAATTTGCCTTAGTGTACAATCTTTCTTCTCTAGGGCCCTTTGCTGGCAGCTATGTTTATATCATGTGACCACTCCTCTGATCGTTCTAGCCATAGATAACCAAACTAAGAATAAACACTTTACCCTGAGTTTGCCAATCATATTTCATTCTTTATGGCATGTTTAAATTGTGCTAAAGAGGTAGTGCATTATTTTTCCTCTATGGTTGGCACCAGAGAAAAATACACTGGGGCTGTGGAACAGCAATATTACATTGGTCATAAGTGTGGAAAGCAGAGAAGCTTACAGACAATTTGGGAAGCCAGAAAATATGAAGAAAGAGATCATTATAATACAAAGTAACACATAGGAAGTGACAAATAAATGGCTTCAGCATCTAACCATTAAAGAAACCCTTACAATATGATACCCGGCATCATATTTGGAAGAGATGGTTAGAACACAGACCTCCCACCAGGCTTAGGAAGACAGGAGGCTGCCCCCACCTGATATAATGTGCTGCCACGTTCCAACACAGTTCTCTCTTCAGTCTGCTGGAAGACTAGTTCTCCAGAACAGAATCTCTCTATTTTGTTAAGACATACTTCTTAGGAGATACCTAATTGAATGTTACTGTTTTGTTTCGGAGGGAAAAATATAACTTTATTGCAAACATCACATTTCTTTTTTCATAGAGTAGAGAATTGCAGAAAGGTAGATAGATGGGTATGGTTGAGTTGAAGACGGGGGTCTAGGGAAAAACAGAGATTAGGGTTGTGGCTGCAGAGGGCTCAATCAATGAGAGAGAGCCAGTTGCAGGGTAACTTCTTCAGAGGAAAAGAAAGGGTGCTGGGTGGCTGACAGTAAGTGTTGACAAAAGAGAGGATGGAGAGGAACCTCAACGTATCCAGACTCACACATTCACCCTGATAAAGTGCCACCTCAAGGATCACCGGAAGAAGTCTTAGTGAAAAAAAAAGGGGGGGTGGGGGTGTGATTTAACTAAAATTAACAGAAAACTAGATGAAAAACAAGAAATTATAGATTACACGATTTGGCCAAATAATGAAACTATAGCTTTAGATTCTGAAATTTACAGTAATGACAGTGTCCTCAGGCGAGTGATGAAAATATCTAAAATGTATGATCAAACCTCTTAGAGAAATAAGAATTATAGTTAATGTATAGTATATTTCAAAAAAACTAAAAGAGAGAATTTTAAATGTTCACAGCACAAAGAAATGATAAATATTTGAGGTGATGGATATGATAATTAGCTTGATTTGGTCATTCCACAATGCATACATGTATAACAACATCACATTTTACCCCACAAATATATACCATATTATTTGTCAACTAGAAATAAGATAAAATGATTTTGAAAAACCAAAACACACTAAAAAGGAATTACCAGAAAGAGAGCATTCAGTAGGTTTGTAGTATTTGGAGAAGGCTTTCTAGAAAAAGCAGTGCTTGAAAGATTTCTGTGTTTTATGTAAGTTGAGACGAAGAATTCCCAGGCTTTCAGAACGGCATGTGTAAAAGTGTTGAGCAGGCTGGGCGCGGTGGCTCACGCCTGTAGTCCCAGCACTTTGGGAGGCCGAGGTGGGCGGATCACGAGGTCAGGAGATCGAGACCATCCTGGCTAACATGGTGAAACCTCGTCTCTACTAAAAATACAAAAAATTAGCCGGGCGTGGTGGCGGGCGCCTGTAGTTCCAGCTACTGGGGAGGCTGAGGCAGGAGAATGGAGTGAACCTGGAAGGCGGAGCTTCCAGGTGAACCGAGATGGCGCCATTGCACTCCAACCTGGGCGACAGAGCGAGACTCCGTTTCAAAAAACAAACAAACAAACAAAAAACTGTTGAGCAACAGTGCACTTGTAACACTTCTCTTGATCTTGCTTTACTATCTCAGGGACATTAACTGAGTATCTGGATCTTACATAGTGCTATTTTAGAAGCTAAAGGACAACACAAATAAAACCCCACTTAGAGAGTTTATAATCCAGTGAGGCAGAAAGAGCAGAACCGTTTTTCAATAATTTCAATATCTCATATACAGCGATGAATAATAAAAATGGTTATGAAAGTACAGAGGGGCTCCATTTATGTCAATTAATTCTGGCTTTCATGATTTTTAGTTCCTACGCAATATCTGAGTTGTAATTTTTGTCATTGTGTTGTAGGACATTTTATGTAACCACTTAAAAAAATTAAATTGCTATTTGAATAATTTCTCTTTCATCCTAACTTCTTCATATCTCCCATTACCTCATTTCAACAATTTATTCATTGCCTATTTTCATTCTTCTTGGTAGTTTTTTTCCTCCTTCTTGCCAAGAGATCATAAACAAAACAAAAGAAAACCATAGTGTATATATTTTGACCTGATCTGTGTTGGGCCTAGCAAAAAAAAAATGACTTCTCTCCTTTCCATCACTTTACAAGCATATCTTCCTGCATCCTTCCTACGTTCACGCTGGGCTCAGAGACAGAGGGTACCTTATTCTTTTTCCTAGCCAATAACTCCACTTTAGCTCCTATCAACCAGAAACACTTAGTTCAGTTCAAACTGAACTAAACTATACATATATATACGTGTATATATATATATACACACACATATATATATATACACACACACATATATACGTATATATATATACACACACACATACATATATATATACACACACACACACACACACACACATATGCAGGGAGCTGAGCTTGCTGTGTCAAGAGTCTAGGGACTCTTACTGAAAATAAAAAATGACTAATTTTAAATATCTACTACATGCCAGACAGCGTCTATCAGCAGTAACAGAAACAAACAGATAAATGCTACTAGTTGTAGAGTGTATAAGGATAGGATGTATCTAATTGATAAGGCAGAAGAGATAATAGTGTGGAGTGGCAGATTTGGAGTGTGTGCATACATGAATGTGTCTGTGTGTGTCAAGAAGAACTAGTTCCAAGAATGTTAACAGAATGTATGCTTTATAACTGTGTGAAGTTTTGATGGGTAAATGTGAGTTTATAAGGATGAAAAACAGGGGAAGTGTGCTTTTGCAGTGCCGTTGATAAAATGAGGAGAGACATGAATGAAAGAATAACATAAGCCAGTTTGTTGGATAACTACAAGAGAAGGGGTATATCGAAGTCTTAAATGTGAGGCTAGGTGCTGTGGGAAATGAAGCTAGAGAAAGCACCAGAGGTCAAATCATGAAAATCTTGAATTCCATGGACAGTGTAATGAACTTAAATTTTTGCAGAGCATCAAGAGCCAGACATTTCTAACATTTTATTCACCTTTTATTGACCACTGGAAGCAAGGAGCTTTGCTTTTAATAAATAAATCATTTTCCATCTCTTCTCATTTAATGCCAACAAAATTCCTTTCCCTCTTTAGTATCTTGTTTAGTGCCATTGGTTGCTTTTTTGAAGTCTGCAATACTCAAGTTTTACTCTAACTCAACAATAAAAGCTTCCCACAGTTTTGTATAGATATTTCCAAACAATTCATTTCAACCAGGATATATTGAATAGTTTTCATAATTAGCCTTGTGCTTTGATAGTGAGGGATACAAGACATAAGCCCTGTTTCTCTCTCAATTTCCTGCTGTATCTTTTATAAGGATAAAAATTCCTTTGGAGAACAGTCTGCTTTTGTTTATTATTCCTTCACCTTCAGTAACAATCTGAATTCTTTCCCTAATGACTCTGAAAATCCTCCAAATGATGTCACCCGTGATTTTCTACATGCCAAGTCCAAAAGTTTAATCTCAGATTTGTTTTTCTCTCCCTCATCTCAACTTTCAGCAATGTTTACCTCCTCCTCCTTGAAACTTTCTCCTTCATTAGCTTCAGTGATGGTTATTCTGTGAGGTTTTTTTTTTTCCTGTTTGTTAAACAATGGTTTTGTTCTCTGCCTTATAAATTGTGGGATTCTAGAGGAGTCTGCTTTTCTCCCAAGAAGTACCTCTTCTTTTCTTGCTTTTCATATGCTCTCCTTGAGATATCTTGGTTATTCTCATGGCTTTAAATAGCACTTATATCCAGAAGACTCATAAATCTGCAATCTAATTATGGCATCTCCAGAGTTCTGTATTTTAAAAGTTAGCAGAATCTTTAACGCTGTGGCAAAGTTTCTGGTTTTAAGCGTAAAGGTAGTAATGAGACATGAAAATACAGTGAAGCAATCAAACCTGTAATTTAGAAAAATAATTGACAGCATTTTGGAGAACAAAGCTCCTTGCTGCATGTGGTGAATAAAAAGTAAATAAAATACTGTGGCTACCCCTGAGGGACATCTCTACCCATCATCACTCAGTTACTTCAACTTCTATATGAGACAAATGGAACTCATTCTCTCGTCCCCTCCAAACCTGGCTCTTCCTCCTGCTTCATTTATCAGCAAACGACATCGAACTCTAGTAAATCATTGAATTAAAATTACTACCCACCACACACACACACATGTGTGCACACACATACCCTCCTCTTTCTCTCTCTCATCCCTTACATATAAAGATTAGTTTTTAACTGATTCTACTCCTGAAATGTAAAAGATGAGAACCTCGGGAGGTCTATATAAGAAGGCCAAGCAATTGTTAGTAGTGGGTATTTGCAGCTATTATTTCATTGCATTTTTCTTACATTGAAAAAATCTTAAGTGTTTATATTCAAGACAAGAGGGGGACTAATGAATATCCTTAGAAGGAGGCACTAAATTTCCCCCAAGCTTCTCTTTTGTGCTGCCTTCACTCTAGAATCTTTCCGACCCATCCTCTCCAATCCATATATACTTTCATTTTCTCTCTTGTGAAATAAGCTATATTCTCTCAACTAATTTTTCTGCCCACTCGGATTACAATGATGCTCCTCTTTCATTGCACTATTATAAGCTATAGCTTGTGGCTGTCTTAATCTGCTGAACTAGACCTTATAGTGTCATCAGTATTCTCCATGCTATTGTCAATGGTATGGCTATCATGTGTGACTGACCTGGGTTCAGATTCTTGCTCAAACACTAACTAGTTTTGAGACCATCTACACCATTAATAAAAATATTACTCATAGAAATAGCTACCATTTACTGGACACGTGTTCTGTGAACATTATTGTCCTCAGTGCTTTATAAGCATTATTTTAATTCTTACTATGTCATCATGTGACAAGTATTATTAGATTCACTTTAAATTCATTTTTCTGGTAAAGACACTGAGTATCAGAAGTCTGAAACATATTTGAAATCACATACAACTGGTGAAAGTCAGAGCTGAATTTTTAACTCAGGTCTTTTTAATTCCAAAGCTCGTGCTCTCAAAAACAATTGTTTTACTGAAATCTACAAGTAATATAAACTTTCTGTGACCCAGTTTCCTCATCTATAAGACAGGATATGCGCTGTGTCTAATACCAGTAGCTGGCAGGCAATGCGTTCGAAATTGGTAACTTTTCATTTTTAGTAATAGTTATTGGGCATAGAAATGAGATTCACTGACTGTGATAAATATATCAGCACACTGATTAAACCATTTGACTAAAAACAAGTTATCTAACCTATATCAGGCAGAACGAAATACCCATTCTCTACGTATTTCCTGGGAATAAATAATTCTGAAATTCTACCGTCCTCCTCAGCCCACCATACCAACATCTAATCTAATTCTGCACATTGTGAGGAAATTACTCCCTGTGGGTGAGAAAGTCCAATTCATCTAGAGTCAAGCATTTTCATTGAACAAAACAGTTTTACTTACAGAGCCCATACAGCAGTTCGGCCTGTTCCTTTCAGGCTGACTCAGAAGGCTGAGGAGGCTTTAGATTCCAGGGGAGGGCCGAGCTTGCAAATATGAGGAGACTTATTCCAGCCTGACTGGAGACAGGCACAGAGCTGAAAGGCCAATTCCTGGTGGTGGTGCTAACTCACTGTGTCTTCAGGGTGTGGAGATTCCCAGAAGACTTCTTTTGCCTCATACAGTCCTTTTATATCTGTTCCATTATGCAATTACTTACGGTGGCTATGTGCTTTATGGGCTGATGTAACCTTTTTTTCATGTGTCATTTCACTCAAAAGCTTTTTTATTTAACAGCTTTATTGTTATATCATTCACATACTATAAAATTCACCCATTTATAGTGTATGATTCAATTTTTTTTAGTAAAGTCACAGAACTGTGCAAGAACCATCATCACAATTCAATTTTAGAACATTTTTTATTACCCTTAAAAGGAACCTCATAATCACTAGCAGTCACTCTGAAGGAGATTTTAAAAAACGAAATATTGTAGCAAATTGCTAAATGACATCTCCCATTATGAGTGAGAGTCCAACTCCACCCCTTAACTCCTCAGTATCTATGATTATTCACAGCAGTATGGTTTCATTAGCCCACCTGTGGTTCTTTGCAGCAGCAGTCTTTCTCTTACAGATAAAAAATAATTCATTTACTCATCCATACATATATCCAGTAAATATTTCATAAGAATGTCCCATATTCTAAACATTATACTCAGTGATAGAGTTTTTTTTTTTAAGAATACACCATAATTCTTACTGTTTAGGATTTTAGTGTAGAAGATAGACAGGTTAACCAATAATTACATGTTAACCAATGATAAGGTTATCCTAGAGGCATGAACCAAATGCTTGGTGAATACAGTAGGTAAAAATCTTGGTTCACAACTTACTTGTGTATAAAATACGGTTTCATTTACTTTTTTATAATTTGACCTATTTCGTATTTTGAAGTCCCAACCTACCAGGTTGAAGAGAATTAGTCACAATAATTTGGGGTTCTCTCTACTTATAGTCAAATTTTGAAAATCTTGTATTATACCAAGAAAAATTGCAGGTAGGTGGGTGATTGACTTGGCCAATGATGTCACCTTCTGTCAGTTTACTATCACTCTCATTAGTCTTTAATAAATAGAATGCATAGATTGCTATAAGTTGTCCATCTTTTCTCCTTATGGCCTCTTTAGATCCTTAGATATTCCCACCAATTTGGACCACACTTGGGCATATGGGTCTTTGATTCATTCTCAGTTTCTGTCTCTTACACCCTGCATTTAATCCATTGGTAAATTATGTCAATCTCTTTGAAAAATACAATCAGAAATTGATCACTGTTTATCATCTCCAGAAATGTCACCTTTATTTAAGTCACAATTATCTCTCACTTGGGTAACTTCAGTAGTTTCCTAACCATTCTCCCTGCTTCCGATATTATCTCCTCTCCACTATCAAATCTGTTTCACTACTGAAAATGTCATGGCCTGAGATATTTTCTTCTTCATAATGTAATAAAAACAATAAATAACAAGAACAATAATATTTTATTATGCATTCTACATCCATGATACTAGGCCAAGTGTTTGTGGTAGACAGGATAATGGCCCCTAAAGATACCTATGTCTTAATGCCTGGAACCTGTGAATATGTCACCTTACATTGCAAAGGGACTTTGCAGATGTGATTAAAGTTAAATAACTTGAGATGGCAAGATTAGATGGATTAGCTGGGTGGATCCAATATAGTCACACGGGTCTTTAAAAGTAGAGAACCAGAGAGATGGCAGCATGAGAAGGATTTGATCCACTGTTGCTGGCTTTGAAGATGGCAGAAGGAGGCTACAAGCCAAGGAATGTGGAAAGCCTCCAGAAGGAGAAAAGAAGATAATTGATTTTTCCCTAGCCCCTCCATAAAGAAATGCAGCCTGGTGATTCCTTGATTTTAGCTCAGTGAGATCCATGTCAACTTTTGACTTACACAACTCTACAATAATAAATTCAGTAGAAGAATCCATTATTAGTTTGATTTATGTCTTAAACCATGTTTAAACCAAAAATTAGAGTGTAAGTAACTTACCTAAGTTTCTCAGTTATAAATGGCACAAGTAGTATTCAAAGCCTCGGCTATCTGACACCCTCTCAGTTTTCAAAACTCATTTTCTAAACAGTCTTCACATGACTATCCATTCACCACTACTTTCAATTTGAGTCATCTACACCCAAAAGCCTGCATGCATGCTGATGTGCCAAACTGAATGTTAACAGGTTGTCACTTGTGCATGCTTATTCCTTGCACATAAAGGTATTTTATTGTTGTGTTTCCGCACAGGAAACTTCTTGAGACCTTTGAAAACACTTTCTCTACCAAGTTGGGCAAATTGTAGGGCTGTGACTCTTTTCCCATTAGTCTCAGAAACTATTTGGGAATAGTCACATATTTTTATTCTTATGGTTGAAAGAATGTTACTCTTATAAGAAAAATAAAGTTACTATAGTGGTACCATGTAAATTCTGTGCCAGAGCTTAGTACATGAAAATGAAACTAGTGTGTGTACTGGTTAAAGCACCAATACACACACTGGCACACTACGTCAAAATATGGCTCTTCTCACTGCCCTATTCTCATGCCAGCCTAGCAGAACAGTAGCTGGTAATTTAACTAAACTTTCTGAAAATTTGAGTTCAATGTTCCTCCATGAAATCATACAGCAACACATCTTATTAATACATTAATATTAACTCCATTGAGTCCAGGAAACATATCATAGTCTGTGATGTCATTTGACTTCATATTAATGTTTCTGAAACTTGGTAATCCAAACAGGAAGTACCAAATTGGACATAGGAAAACTCTGCACTAGGAACTTGAAGTAAGTCTTATTTATTGACTGTCAACATTTACTACGGTAAACAGTAAAATATTCTTGGCTATCAAATCAGCAAATGTTTTTTAAAACACATAATACATAGTGTTGTGTTGCTGTGTTACAGTGGACTAAGCATTGTTTTACAATGTTTGCATGAACTTTCTGGAAGCATATTTTCCAGTATATTGTTGTCTTAAAATGTCCATAATATTCCATTTCTAAGAATTTATTGAAAGGAAGATATCAGAGATGCAGGCCATATTTTATGTACAGGAAAATTTATTGCCCCATTATTTACAGTGGTAAAAAATATAGATAAAAATTCTCAATGATACAGAATATATAAAGCATTTATATCGAGTCCTGGGATGTTATGCAACCTTTAAAATTTGTGCATATACCAGCTCAAGTGGATGGTCATGCTTGATCAGGAAATAGAAAAACAAGTTTCAGGGCTAAGACTAGCACAAGGAGCAAACAGTTTAAGATATAAAAGAAACAGGGTTTGATACAGGAGCAAGAGGCCAGAGGCAAAACAGGTAATCCAGGGTTAATGCATTGAAATTGTAGAAATAAACTTAAAAGAGAACAAACAATAACAACAGCAACGAAAACGGGTTGCTGTGTGTTACTGTTTGAATATGTCTCCCATGTTGGAAATTTAATTCCCAAAGTCATATCTTGATTAGATATGAAGACTTTGGGAGATAAGTTGGATCAGATAAGGTCATCATGATGGGACTGGTGGATTTATAAGAAGAAAAAGAGATCTGGGCTGACACAAATGCCCTTGCCCTTTTGCCATGTGATGCCCTCCACCATGTAATGGCAGCACAAAACCTCTCTCCAGAGGCTGGCACCATGCTTTTGAATTTCCTAGCCTCCAGAACTGTGAGCTAAATATACTTCTTTCCTTCACAAATTACCTAGTATTTGGTATTCTGTTATAGCAAGAGGAAATAGATTAAGACACTAAGTCAAAAACCATTTTGTTTATACTACTGTTCAGAAAAATTATTAGAACTCCATATGGCCTACTAGCCCTCCATGGTCTGATGAAAGCCTCACTCACCTCTTTTCCTGGATCCAGCCATGTTGGATTTAGCAGTTTTCCTACCCCGTTGATATGGCTAACACTGACCATTCAATTTTGGTGTATATAGAAATGTCACTCCTCCTTACCTCTCCCTGTGAACTTCTAGCTATTCCTAATATTCCTATTTATTCCATTCTTCTCTGCTCCCACTATATCTTGTTGCACATGCTTTCATTAAAGTTCTTAATTGATTTATTAAGAGAAATATTGTATAGATACTCTACATATATCTGGTATTGAACAAGATCCTGAGGGTATAACAGTGAACACGATAGATATCAACCCAAATATTACACAGTTCGAAGTCTAATGGGGGATACAAATAAGTAAATGGGAAATTAAAATACTGTATTATAATTACTCTACAAGTGGTATTCACAGAGATCTTTGCTATTGAAGGACCAATAATGTTAGCATCGCCTGGAAACTTGTTGGAAATGAAAAGAAAATTAGATCTTCTGAATTAGAACCTGCGCTTTTGCAAGATACCTAGCGCATTAATGTGCCATTCATATTTGTGAAGTGCTGGTATAGATCACCTAGGTGCTGGGACAAGTTAGCCTGTGTGATCAAGGGAGGCTAACCAAATGTAATTGATAATATGAGATCCGAGTGAGTGAAAAGGGTTTTGACAGGGGAGCTAGTAATGAGGGCAGGAGAGTAGAGTAGGGTGAGGAGATGACAGAAGGTTAAGGAAATGTTCCAGGCATGGTCAGCTGCTGTGGTGTTTCATCTGCTTGGCGGACTGAGGACCAAATTAGGGCACTGCAAAGTAGGGAAACTAAAAAGAAAAATTAAAAAAGGATAAAAAACCCCCACATAATTAAGCTTCCATTAATTTATCCACAATCTGCAATCAGAAAATGTAGGATAAAAAGTTATTTTAATTTTAATATAAATAAAAAATAAAACTGTTTTGAATTATATTTGAAACAGAGTTTAGGAATCAGTAAACATCATAATACTGCCTCAGAGAATAGAATGAGAGAAGGCTCAGACCTGAGCCAAACCATGCCATGTTTAGGAAACTGAAAATGAGCTCTGTATGACTGAAGGGGAGAGAGTAGAAATAAATGTTTCTCCACCTAAAGCAGTCGCAAGGCCAGATTTCTGAGGACCTGGGAAGCCAAAGAATTGAAAGCAGGATAATGTCCTGACCAGATTTGTGTTATAATGGTTGTCTATCTATCTGTCTGATATATGAGTTCCTTGAGAGTAGATACTACACCTTCTCATCTCAACATTGGAACATAGTATCTGACACATACTAGGCACTAAATGATAATTTAATAAAATTGCTATATTAATGAGAACAATAGTAATCATGATAAATAATAAAAATAAATTATTACAATGATTAATAACACATTTTGAGTGAGTGCAAATGTGCTAAGACCTTTTTATGGATCAATACTGGGTTATCTTATTTTACAACATAGACTTATAAAGCAGTATAACGATTTTCTCCACATTAAAAGCAAAAAACAGAGGTGATGTAGTCTAAGGTCACACGATTGGTGACAGAGCTGAGCTTTGGACCAAGGTTGTCTGGTTGTCTGGTTGGACCAAGGTTGTCTGGTTCCAAATACTTTCAGTTGAACCAATGCTATGTTGACTCTTAATGGACAGGTAGATGTAGGCAAGTGTGTAACATACTTAAGTCCTGGGACAGTACAATTAGAATAGACAACCAGTCAAAATGAGCATTGATCATTATGCCCTTCTTGTATCCACTGATTGTTAAGCCTTGGCTGGTGAATGGTTTAAATGTCTGGAGTGTGCACTAAAAAAGAGTCCGAAGCTCTTCTGTGTTCCATTTTCTGCAGCTGTGTGTAGAAGATCAGCCTGCACTTGTGTCTGTGAGCATGAACCAGTGCCCCTCAGACTGGAATTCCTAGCATGGATAGTAAGATTTTCACATTTATTTCCCTGTAACAGCCTGGACGTCTGTTTTTGCTTCTGTATCTTGAAAGCTTCTATTTAAATTGTGCATTTTTTCCCACGGAGTCTCATACATTATGTGGCACATTTATCTGGGACTGTTAAGATTTCCCCCCTAACCCATTGAGGTATTTATGGGGGAAGATTATGCTTCTATTAGTCCAGAAAATACCTAAAAAGAGAGCATATTTTCTCAGGTTCTTTATGAACTTCTGGGAAAAAATGCATCTTTCCAGATTTTCCTAGGGATCTAGAATCTTGTGACATGAGAAGAAGAAAAAAATTAAACAGGATAATTAAATTTTCTGCTCTGTAGCAACTCTAACGGGAATAGTTAACTCGTCCCCTTCTTCCATACAGCAGGACTTTGTAAGGTAATGGCCTCTTGATACAGCCTCTTATGCCAAGAAACATGTTTAAATAGTTGTCCTTGAAATTTACCAAGCTTCCAAGCTCACCATTAATTGTGAAACGCTGTATTAATGACAAAGCTGAAAGCCATTTATGAGTGTCCACAGCTTAAATAGAAGCTGTCTGTCAAACATGGTTAATTCTCCACCACAGTGGTAAACATGCTGGTAGCAGTTTTAGGACAGAGCAGACTAGTATCTCTGTAAGCTAGCAAGGGACACACAAGGGACTCATAAAGTTTTGTAGTCTTCCTTTAGTCACTTCCTCTTAAGTTGTCATTTTCTGTGACTATGCACAGGTTAGCAACAGCTCCCAGGAAATTCAGGGGAGGGCCTGGGCCCTCAATCAGAAAACCACTGCACTACCTTCAGTGAATGTAGTAACTCAGCAACCCCTTTCCTATTTGGGTTCCGTGTCTCGTGATTGCTGTGAAACCGGCAAATGGCAGCTGAGCAAACTCAGCTGTTAATGATCCGTTAACAACAACACTTCTTCCTTACTCTGGCTCTATGCAAAGTTGTCCTACAGCTGTTTAGGGCTCAAATTGCTCTTGAATGAGAATTGAAATTGCAGTTCATCTATAGAATTATCTTTTGGGGAAGAAAGAGTGAAGATAGACTGAAAATATGTTGCCTTTTACAATTTGTTATTTGGAGCACAAAGGGTTAACAGGACACAGCTGTAGGGAGTTCTCCCCTAGGAATTTGCTTTTCTGCTGGGTAAATGACTCTCACCAGGTGACTTCTAGGCTCCTTATAAAGGCTGTTTTTCTCAAATCTGGTAGTTCTCCTATTCCTGAATTTTTTCCCTATGTTTTCTCCTGGCAGAAGAGGACCTCTTTGTCCAGGGGCAGGGCTGATCAGGGGCTGATTCCGCAGCTATAGTAGTACAGAACCTTTCTGCAAGTAAGTTAGTGAGGTTGAGATAACTCTCTCTCACTTGCTTTGCATTAATAGATTCTCTGCTGTGTGGGATGATCCTTCAAATAGCAGGGGGCAGGATCAAATAACCTCACCTTCCAGACCCAAGAATTCTGTGCACAAGGTCAGTGTTGTAGTGCATTGAAGACAGTTATAAATAAATTAGGTACTGTATAACCTTCAGATAGTATATGAAACAAACGCGGAAGTATTCAGAGTAAATGTGAGCATGAACTCAGTAGTGTATTTTCATACGTTATGTCAACTCAAAAATATCGTTGTAGCGTTCAAAATAGTTATTCCAAATATAGACTACAGTCATCAGCATGTGTTTGTTCATGCCACAGTAAAAAAAGAAAAAAAAATTTAAATAAGGAGTTTGCGAGAGCATGGCGTTTGGAGTAAGAACAGAGCTCAATTCCTGAATCTGCCATTGGCTTGTTGGGTGAATTTGAGAACGTCGTATGTTTCCTCTGAGACTCGATTATCTAATCTTACCCTGCTTTCTCACCCATAAAGGGGAGTTATTAATACCCAATAATGGTGTTGTGATAGTAATGAATGTGAAGCTTTGTTGTGAGGGCTGTCTATTTAGATGTTCCTGGTAGTCTGGTAATAGGGATGTTTAAGTTATAGGCTCTGTCATGGAAGAATTCTCAGTGGGGGAGAAAGAGACACTTAAAGAGAACTGTTTAAGAAGAGTTTAATATTTGCTCATTAGTTTTAGCGCAGGACAACTCAAGACTGGTTTAAGAATCACAGAATTTTTTTTAAAAAGCTATTATTGGCCGGGAGCAGTGGCTCACGCCTGTAATCCCAGCACTTTGGGAGGCTGAAGTGGGCAGATCACGAGGTCAGGAGATCGAGACCATCCTGGCCAACATGGTGAAACCCCATCTCTACTAAAATACAAAAAATTAGCTGGGTGTGGTGGCATGTACCTGTAGTCCTAGCTACTCGGGAGGCTGAGGCAAGGGAATTGCTTGAACCTGGGAGGAGTAGGTGATTGTGCCATTGCACTCCAGCTCCAGGAGCAGGGATGGTGGGGGCGGGTGGTGGTGGTGGTGGTGGGGGGAGCTGTTCTTGGACCCATGTTTGCTAATAGAGTTCCCTCTGTTACAAGAATCCTATTACGTTTCCCTTTGATTGCAGGAGTTGAAGAAAGATTCTATGAGCTATGTACAGTGGAAAGGGGGACTCAGATTCAGTGAAGTAAATTGTTTGGCACGTAGAAGGCATTAAATACATTACCACTAATTTTATTAGAGAGAAATATAGCCAAGTACTTAATCTGTTGGGTTTTTCTTTTATGTTTTATTTTTATTTTTGCTGTTTACAATATAGCTATTCTATTTATTTTTATTGTGATAAAATCACACTTGTAATCCCAGCACTTTGGAGGCCAAGGCAGGTGTATTCCTTGAGTTCAATAGTTCAAGACCAGCCTGGGCAACATGGTGAAACCCCATCTCTACAAAAAATAAAAAAAAATTATCCAGGCATGATGGTGTGTGCCTGTAGTCTCAGCTACTTTACAGGTTCTTTACTTGGCGAGCTGAGGCAGGAGGATCACTGGAGCCTGGAAGTTTGAGGCTACAGTGAGCAGTGATTGCGCCACTGCACTCCAGCCTGGGCAACAGAGCAAGACCCTATCTCAAAAAAAAAAAAAAAAAAAAAAGACAGAAAGAAAGAAAGAAAGAAAAGAACACTTAACATGAGATTTACTCTAACTTTTAATAGCACAATACAGTATTGTTAACTATAAGTAAAATGTTGTATATCAGATCTCTGGAACTAATTCTTCTTTAGTAACTGAAACTTTATACCTGTTTAACAGCATCTCCCCCATTTTTCCCTCTCCCTAGTCTGTTGCAATCACCATTCTAGTTTCTGTTTCTATGAGTTTGGCTAAGAGATACTTCACATATAAGTGGAATCATGAAGTATTTCATTTCAGGTTCATCCATGTTGTAGCATGTGTCAGAATATTACTGCTTTTAAGGTTGAATAGTATTCTATTACATGTATGTCTTGTGCTTTCTTTATGCATTCATTTGTTGATGGACATTTAGGTTGTTTCCATATGTTGGCTATTGTGACTAATTCTGCAATGAATATGGAAGTGCAGATACCTCTTTGACTAACTGATTTCCTTTCCTTTGGATATATACTCAGAGTGGATGTGCTGTTTTTCACAGTGGTTGCATGATTTTACATTCTCTCCAACTGTGTACAATAGGTCCAATTTCTTCTCATTCTTGTCAACACTTGCTATTGTTTTTTATAATAAGTATTTTCATAGCTATGAGGTTATATCTCACTGTGATTTTGATGATTTTGATTCACATTTATGTGATTAGTAATGTTGAGCATCTTTTTATATTTGTTGGCCATTTGTATGTTTTGTTTGGAGAAATCTCTATTCAAGTCCTTTGTCCCTTTTTAAATTGAGTTATTTGTGTTTTTGCTACTGAGTTGTAGGAGTTCTTTATATATTTTGAATATTAACCCCTAATCAGGTATTTGGTTTGCAAATTGGGTTTATTTACTATAATAAAAAGAACATTAAATTGAGAGGCTGCTTCCTCATTTTTAAAATAAAGAGTGTATGACCTTGAGGTCATTACTTGCTCTCCACTTCAACTGGGAAAATAAATGTTTTTATCACTAGGTCCAAATCTGAGCAAAGTCCTTGTCTCAAAGATAAATATCAGATTATTGAGAAAACTGCTTGTTTTCCTCCTATGTTGAAATATGTTTTTATGATTGCATGAATTTAACTTATAATTTGAGGGGGCCACATATCGGGAATCACACATATGTGGAAATATTAAGCACTGGGGTTTATCACTATTTTCAGAAGCAGTTCATTCATTCATTTAATAGATACTTTTAGATGCTGTTGTGCTAGCCATTTTTTCTGGCTCTGAGATCGTAGGTCTGAGAAAAAATGGTCCTTATATTTTCCTGGGAGTCATTTTTGCCTTAGTGGCCATGTCTCCTCAGTTTCATTAGAGGACGCTTCTTCTGGTCTTTTCTTTAAATACTGCTGTTCCCCAGCACTCTGTCCTCAGACTTCATTTCCCTTAGATTTATTACTCTAAGATATTTTTCACTGATCCTGTGACTTCAACCATAGACATTAGTTTCACAACTCTCAAGCCCTATTATCAGGGCAGGAGTCATTTTCCCTAGGATGCAGAAGTAGGTACATGTCCCGATTCTCGTATGTAAAGTCACAGGTGAAAAAGTGAAGCTTATCTTCCAACTGAGATCCAAGGCTTGACTCGAAGATCCATAGCTTTTGTTTTGTCTTGCATTGCCTCTCAATTCAAAATTTCCAGCCACTATCTTTCTTTGCGTGTGTGTGAGAACTCAAAGAGGCTTCCTGTATTGAACATTTTTCCTTCTTCTCAAATACCTAGAGAAATGCCCTCTTGAACACACTTCCTGTAACCAGTTATTCTTACTGATGTCTAAGCTCCTGTCTTTTCATTCGGGGGGTTGCAATGAAGATAACTAAGTTAACCTATACTCAAATATTTTCTTTCTCAGGGTCAGACCTTCTTAAAGTAGCAAGTCTAATTCTAATGCACACACTAACACTGTAGGTATTTAATTTTTTTGAGTAAATACATGCATGAGTAAGTAAAAGGGGAACATAAATATGTTAAAAACCAAACATTCTTTCTATAGATAAAAACAGTGTCAGAAAACTTAAGACAAGAAGCAATATACAGAAACATTTTCAATCCTACAGATTTATGGATCTGGGTGAGCATACACTTAGATCTCCAGAGAAAACCTCCTTCCCCCAGCCAATCTATTCTCAATGCCCTTTTGCAGAAATGGAAAATCAAGAAACTTGCTCAGGTAAATACTCCAGTTATTATCCATGACTTTCCAATGAATTCCTTTGTTCTTGTTAAGGTTATTTAAGCCATCTTTTTTCAGGCAGAATATCCTTTGAACATAATCAACTTCTCAATTATTACATGTATAAACAAACCTTTTTTCTACTGTCACCCACTGTGGTCCATTTAGATTTAATTGTTTCTTTCCTGGTACTTAGTTTTATTTATTTATTTTTTTCACTCAACAGCTATTGTGTATTCATTTGATCAGGAGTATTTTACTAGAAAATGTTTAATATTATCTTATTCTCTTACTTTCATTGGGTCACATGGACTTATAAACTTTAATGCACCTTAGGGTTTTTGCCGCAGAAACTGAGAAGTGAAGAAAAGCAGGGTGAATTTCCTGTTGTGTTTCTTATGGCTGTCCGGAAATATCCCATCTGCCCGTGTACATACAGTCATAGAAATGGGAAACATTTTCTATTATTGAAACTAATCTCCTGTTTTATATATGTATATATAAGTATCCTGAAGCCTAGATGTAATATAATGGGAATCTTGCTAAAAACCAGGTTTCTTTACACAATTTAGTGTCTGTGTCCTCTCCTAGTTCATTCAAGAACACATATAAGAAAACAGTAAGTGGCTATGCATTTTCATTGAAGAATAGGATGTGGTTCTCTAGTGATCACAAATTGTATGGTGTATAGAAGAAAGTGAAAATGCTTTTCTTCTCCATTATTACAGGACATAGTTCTTTTCCTCAAAGACATCTGCTTCTTCGCTCATCATGCCATCCTTCAACCAGAGTATTTTCCACCCTGCAGTCTTCTTCCTTACTGGCATCCCTGGCCTTGAAACCCGTCAGATCTGGACCTCCATCCCATTCTGTTGTCTCTATGTCATTGCTATCTCTGGGAATGGCATGATCCTGTTTGTCATCATCACTGAGTCAAGCCTCCATGAACCCATGTATCATTTTCTCTCCATGCTATCCTTCATGGACCTAGGTCTGTGTCTTTCTACATTGACCACCATGCTGGGTATTTTCTGGTTCAATGCTCGAGAAATCAGTTTTGATGCCTGCATTGGCCAAATGTTCTTTATCCATGGCTTCACATTCATGGAGTCCTCAGTACTTTTGGCAATGGCCTTTGACCGCTTTATTGCCGTCTGTAACCCACTGAGATATGCCACAATCTTAACCAATTCACGGATTATTAAAGTGGGCTTTGCAATTGTTCTTAGGGGAACAACAGCTCTAGTGCCTCTACTCCTGCTCCTTAAGCGCCTCTCCTTCTGCCGTAGTCATGTGCTCCACCATTCCTACTGCTTCCACCCTGATGCGATGAAGCTCTCATGCACAGACACATGGATCAACAGTGCATTTGGCCTGGCCATTGTTATCTCTACTGCTGGCTTAGACTCTGTCTTGATCCTCATCTCCTATGTTCTGATCGTCCGCTCTGTGCTCTGCATTGCCTCCCCAGAGGAGCAGAAAAAGGCTTTTGGTACCTGTGTCTCTCACATCAGTGCAGTTGCCATCTTCTACATCCCCATGATCAGTTTGTCACCAGTGCACAGATTTGGAAAGCATGCCCCTCCCCTTGTGCACATGCTCATTGCCAATGTTTATCTGCTTATCCCTCCTGTAATGAATCCCATAATCTACAGTGTAAAGACCAAGTAAATTCGCAAGGCTGTGCTCAAAGCATTTCTTTCTAAGCTAATTTAGGGAAGTTTGAGTGTACTCCTTCTTTACCAAGTCTTCCCTGACCCATGTTTGATCATTCAGTACTGTGAGTTACTGTTGTTTATTGAAACAGCTGGTTTCAACATGCTTTCTTTCTATTCTGATGATCCACTAACTTACCATTTACACAGTTCTAAATGGTGAGTTATTTAAGGGCAGAGATTATGTCGGTACTTCTGATCCTTTCATGAATACTGAACCTAGCACAGTATAGGACCACAGTTAAAATATGTCTGAAAGCATGCACAAGTAAAGTCATACTTGGAGTTTAGGAGTCTCACCACCTCTAGAGCATGTAGCTATCCAAAGTAGATCTCATGTAACGTAGATCAGTAGGCAAAGTCTAGGTTTTAGTAATTCTTACAGTTTATTTGTGATGATTCATTATTCCACCAGACAGATTGTAAATGGCTGAAGAATATGAATAAGCACAATAAGCAAGAAGTATTAATAAAAGGACTACTTTCCTAATTCTTAAAAGAGTACTTGAGGTCACCTTGGTAAATGCATTTGTATTTTAATAGTAGAAGATCTGGGGGTCCATTGTCTAAATATATGTCTAAAGAAGAAAAATGGGCAAGAATGTAAAGATATATTGTGATGTTCAACACATCATTCATTATACATTGCAATGAACATGTGGAAACTGCTTAAATAATTACTTTAGGGTACTGACCTAATAAAACATAAAATACAATGCAACAAGTTAAATACTGATACAAATATAAATTACATTTTGTTAAAAAATATAGGTTAGTATACAAAGTACTTACTTGTGTATATATTTCATGTGAATATGTGTAAATGCACATTAAAAAGTATAAATAGACATATCCCAAACATTACAACAGCTTATATTTGATAGCTGGATATTGTTTTGCTGACATATTCTTTACACTTTCTTGCATTTTATAAATGTTCAATAATGAGGGTTTCTTTTTCTTTTTGGATAATGAAGTAATTTCCACTTAATACCTTCCCACAAAACAAAACTTTTTTAGTTCTTCATCTTACATAAGATCTTCATTCCAGTGGGTCTTCACAGATCTGGCCTCATGCAACCCACTGAATACACTCATAAGATGACATCCACTTTCTACTTGCATCTATCACTTTTCTCAATGTGGTCCAGCATCTGTGCATCCAAACCACTTGACACTTCCGTTTAAAGTGCAGATTCCTCAATTCCGCTCCAGAGCTACTTAAACAGAAGCCCTTGAAATGGAACCCACAAATTTGCATTTTAACAAGACATTTACGGATTATCATGTATGAAAGAGTAACACTTTTCTGGGGTCTATCCACTTTGATGAATTATATATATTTCTGAAAAACACCAGGAATATATTGCCTCTAAGTCTGTGATTATTTTGCTCTCTCTGACTGACATACCCACCTCTTTCTTTTCCTGATTGTTCCATTTATTATTCTTTCAGGTGCTGTTAATAAATCTTTGTCTTACAGGGAGTCAGATTTCTCTTCCCCTACTGATCTGAAACTTTTTGAAAATGGGCATTGGACTTTGGGAATTGATGTATCTCGCACAGATACAAGTGCAGTGCTTTATTAATAATAGCTACTTAATGTATGCTTATTGAATTAAATTTATTTTTATATAACTTCACATATATACTGACATATTTTGAGCATCTTCATTTTGGCAAACACTGTGGAAGGGAGGTACTAGGGATAAAACAGTGAATGGGGAAGGCACAGCCTTCATTCTTAAGGTGTTTAAATCTGACTAAACATATCTAAATTCAAACAATATTTTAATCAGTTTTTACTTACAAACTGTGTACAAAACATTATACCACATGCTAAGAGTAGTCATAGATGGCGGTCTCTCTTTCTCCCAGTAGAAGCCTGAACCAATGGAAAAACAACCAGCCCAGGAAATACTTGACTTAATAAGAAAAATATAGCTCCTAGAAATTTACTGTTTAATAGAGAAAATATAATATGCACTCATTTCTAAGCAATGAAAGCATAAACATAAGTTATTTAAATTTCATATGGATAGGAAAAGTTTTCAAAAATAATTTTGAAGTTGGAGCAACCACATTTTTGGGTGTATCTTAAAATAGATGTACTAAGAATGTTATTGTGAAAGTAACAATTTTGATTCATGCTTTAATAATGTAATTTATGAAGTGTCAATTACAGATAATCTTGTATAGTATAGTTATACGTACCTTAATAAAATCCACTTTGAAGTATATTTATTTTCTCTCTTTATAAAGTAATACTTTATATTTTTTCTTATTTCTAAGTTTTTTTTTCTTTTAATCTTACAGCTTATATCTCTTATTTTTCCCTACTATCTATGTTACACTCTGAATTCAACAACATCCAATACTATGGTCTATACATTTTGCTTTTATTTATAGTCCATCTGAAACAATGGTTGTTTAAAACTGTGAGAACTAATGCTGAAAATAGTAGTCTGGTTAATCTGAAGTAGACTTTGAAAGAGTAGGCGATAGGGTGTTGAGGTTCTGTTTGAGAATGTCTTCTAAATTGACATTTCTATAAACGGATATATCAGAGTTTAGGGGGAAAATGTGATGTTTGTACCATTCAGGTTGATATTGAAACCAAGCAGAAAACTGCAATATATTAGGGATTCTCAAATTAGGTGCCTGACTTCCTCAGCTGCTTCACGTGGAGCTGTAAAAATGCATTTTTCTAGGGAAGAGGAAAGACTAAGTTCCATGCTGTGTTATTTGTATTATGTTATTTAGATTCAAATGACTTAGGATGCATAAAAGATCTTCATGCCTAACATAGATCCTGTCTCCCTATTTAGCTTCATCTCTCCCCCACACTGGCACCCAGGGTTCCAAGTGAGCTGAGTCTGTTATTAGTCACCTTCTGTTCTTCCTACACTCTGTGCTCCATTGTCTCCTGACAGACCTGGTTCTGAGTTTCCTTCAGGATAAACACAACTCTTCTGTACTGTCATCGTAAATATCCCTCATTGTAAACACTGAGTTTTATGTCTGTTTCCACAGGTGGTTCCCTCCAAGGAGCTCTGGAGGGAAAAGACTCTGTTTTATTCTCTGTATTACCAGTACAAAGTCCTAGAATATGAAAGATACTTCAAATGTTCCATGAAAGAATAAATGAAGATTTTTGGGGGGCATAGAGTGAAGCACAAGCAGAGGGGTTTCTAAAAATATATAAAATTCACCTAAATAATATAGGAGGAAGATAAGTTTATCAGTTGGGTGTGGGAGTGGTGTGAAGATGAGGGGCGATCTGGTGGGTTTTTTTGGGAGGGTGTGGTTACTCACAAATTTACTTTTAAGAAAATTTTAACAACACATAAGATCAAAGACCTGTAACAGCAGTCCCTTCATGGAAACTATAAAAGAACATGAAGTAGAAGGAGAAGAAAGCCATGAAGTAGAATGAGCCCTTGGGAAGCTTCATACTCTGGGGGCTGCAGAAATCACCACCAGGAGCTTATTAAGAGCTTTCAGGCATCCTGAGATATGGCTTCAGATATATGCTACTTATTTCTGGGTAGAATACATCCCCAGCTCCTCAGGCTCCTTTCTGGAAAACAGGCAGGAAAGAACACATCCTTATACTTTGTAAGTAAAACTGCTGCATTTACGAAAAACATTACACTTTACACGCCCTGGTTTCTTTTAAGAATGAGGGGGACTTTATTAGCTGCAGAAAGCTCTTGTGGGTGCCTAAGGAAAATTGTGGAAATCTATTTTCTGAAATCTGTATTTTCTAGGAACATTCTATTCTGAGGAGGTTTGATTGGTCTATGAGCCATTTGTTTTGCTGCTTAGAGCAGGTTGTTAATGTGTCCATGCAATTTTAAGTTTCCTGGTTAGTTGTGTCACATTTTATAACTGCCACTGAAGGTCCTAAAGTCAACAGCCACTACCACCGTCACACACACTGCCACTGCCATTCTTATCCTCATCCTCATCTTCATTTACCAATATCACGTGACTTCCACGTCCCACACACTGGTCAGCATATTATATGCTTTGCAATGTTATCTTGTTTAATCCTTACAAAGTAGTGCCATTGGTGAACTACCAGTTTCACCTTAGTGGAATCTGATGTAAAGTGCTTATTTGGAGAACTCCGGCTAGCTCTAGGTGGCAGAGACCAAATTTGAACCTAGGTTTGTATGACGGTATAACAATATCACTTACTCTGTAATCAGAGAAGAGAGATAAGTCAAGGTAGCCCAGGAAATAACTTGAAACACATTCTTACAATGGGCCTGGAGTGTTATCTTGGTATAATAGGAAGATAATTACTGTCAACAAATGGGAGGGCACATAAAAGTTAACCCTCCAATACTAGGACAGAGTCTTCCATCAGTAAAACCCCAAATCTCTCTCTCTCTCTCTCTCTCACACACACACACACACACACACACACACACACACACATTACTCAGTTTGTGAGAACACTGGAGAGCTCTGTGCGATTCTTCCAGAAGCCACATATATAATTTTAGGCAACACAGCATGTTTTAAATAGACAAAATTGAATGTGTTGAGGTCCTGAGATGTGTTCAGAATCTTGGTCAGTTAACAACTCTTGGATTGAATTCACATCAACATGTATATATTGTATGCCCATACTTCTCAAAATATATTTCAAGGTATTGGGAATATAACGATGAAAAAACAATGAACTACCTTCCAGTAACTTAATTTTGTTAGAGAGGTGTATTTGATCGTACAATGGAATAAACACTATTTTAGATGCATAAATATAAAAGAATATCGTTTCATCAAGCTGTTATCAAATAAAGTCTTTTTTTCCTGTAAAAAAAAAAAAAAGAATATAACTCCAGAGGAAGAAGTAAGTTCTTCTGACTTGACTTAGAGTAGGTGATGCCACCAAATGCTTCCTGAAATAAATTCATGTTTAATTTATACGTAGTTCGGTGGATCAAATAGTGGATCTAAAATTTTTTGTCTTATTCAAAAAAGAGAGAACTACATGAATTAAGCAAGCACATTAGTGTGAAAGAACTTGCTATATTTGGTAGTTTGGTGAAGTAGGGAAAAGCCCAGGTGGAGTATATAAAAAGATTTCTGAGGGTAGGGAGGAAGGTCACTAATAAAACTGGAAGATAAATATGGTCAATCAAGAGACATTTCAGAAGTTGAACCTATAAAGATTTGGAGACTGGATAGCCATGACAGATGGGGTTGGTAGAATTCTAAAAGGGCTCTAAAGATTTCTGCCCATCCTGGTGTACTTGTCCTGAGCAATACCCATGCCTTGGGTGTGTGAGTGGGGCCTGTGAATGTGATGGGATATCACTCCCATGATTACGTTACATTATATGGCAAAAGGATTTAACAGATGTAACTAAGGTCCCTGATTACTTGACTTTGAGTTAATCAAAAGGAAGACTATCCTGCTAGGGCTTACCTAATCACGGAAGTCTTTAAAAGAGAGAAGAATCTCGAAGGAGGTTCTACTGCTGGATTTGAAGACCTAAGATGTCATATTGTGAGAAGAACACATGACTGGGACTGAGGGTAGCCTCTAGAAGCTAAAAGCCCAGCAAGAAATTGGAGACCTCAACCATATACCACAAGGAACTAAATTCCTACGGCAATCTGAGTGAGGATTGTAATTAAGAACAATCTCCAATTGTTCCTCTCCAATTAAGAACATGGTACTGGCTGGAATTTTAATTTCAACCGTGCGAGATCCTGAGTAGTGCACCTACTTTTGCTGTGCTCAGACATCTGCCTTACTGAACTGTGAGGTAATATATGTGTCTTGTTTAAAGTCACTGAATTTTTAGTAATTTCTTATGCAGCTATAGACAACTAATGCAACAAAGAATGTTTTGATCAAAAACAGAACCAGATTTCAAATATAGGTATGAATCATGAGGGAGGGAAATGAGGATAGACAAATCATTTTATGAGTTGTTGGTGTAGGAAAGGAGATACACACAGCAGGGATGCAGGCTAAGAAGAACGTTGTTCTTGTTGTTTTTAATTATATTTAGATTGAGGGATAAATTGCATGTTTATATAGATTGTATGAATAGAAAAAATCTCTTATGCTTTTGAAGCAAAGAAGATAATTCCATACTTGATCTCTCTTACCTCTTTTTTTTTTTTTTTTTTTTTTTTTTTTGAGATGGAGTTTCGCTCTTGTTGCCCAGCCTGGAGTGCAATGGTGCGATCTCAGCTCATTGCAACCTCCACTTCCCAGGTTCAAGCGATTCTCCTGCCTCAGCCTCCTAAGTAGCTGGGATTACACGTGTGTGCCAACATGCCTGGCTAATGTTTTGTATTTTTAGTAGAGATGGGGTCTCACCATTTTGGCCAGGCTGGTCTCAAACTCCTGACCTCAGTTGATCACCTGCCTCGGCCTCCCAAAGTGCTGGGATTACAGGCATGAGCCACCGTTCCCAGCCCTTTCTTACCTCTTAAACACTACCTTTTGGTACGTTTTATCTCACACTTTAGTGGCATTTCTAAAATATCTGAAACCCCATTGCCTTTGAATATGCTTAGAATTTCTTTCATGATGATTTTCACTTATCAGCCTCTGCTCGACAATTCTTTACTTACTCAGAGAAGCCGTTTGACTCCATCCCCTCCAACTTTCTAATATAGATACCTCTGTATTTTAAATACAGTCTTATTATTTGTTTGTTTGCACATTTGTTTTCTGAACTATCCTATTATTTCCTTATGATCCTCAGGGCAGGTGCAATACTTGACTTGGCTCTGTATCTCAACAGTCTGGATTGCGGCTTGCACTCAGTAATGTTTGATGTTAAACAAAGCTAACATCCAAGATAGATTGAGACTAGGTAATGGGGGTTGTCTGGAAAGGAGTAAGAGCTCTTCTTTTTAACTTGGAAAGATGAAGAAAGGATGAGAAAAACATAGTTGTAGCGGAAGAAGAGATGAAATGAGAAAGAGATATTAACCAGTGGATATTACCTAAATTAGATTTAGAATATTTCCATGTTGTTTTTTTTTTTTCTCAGCTACCAGATAAAGAGACAAGTAGATACATGATGGTGGGGGTTGGGGATAGATTTTGGAAAACAATGTGTGTACACTTTTTTAACTTTAATTTTTCTCTTTAATGATAATAACTAACATTTGGTAAGTTTTTTACCACAGTGAGATGCTCTGCTGAGATTTTCACATACGTTAATCTTCACAACAGTCCTGTGGATATGCATACCATTGTTACTTTAGAGATGGGGAAAATGAGGCACATACAGTTTAGTAACTCATCATGTGGTAACCCAGCTGGTAAATGTCAAGAGTATTTTAACCCAGTTAAAATTTATAACATGCAGCTGTAAAAAACGTTGACTTGGGATGCAGGATAAAAATTCATAACATTAAACTATCCATAATACTTTCATACTGGAGGCCCCATATATTCTAATTCTGGCTTATACATAAGTATATGTTTTTATATCTAACTCACACTCGCTATGTGGTATGAAAATTTCTTAGGGACAGTTTAAATTTTAATATCACGAATAGACTGTATGCTTGTCCAGGGTATTATCACACTGCAGATAGTAGGGGATCAACAAATGTTGGCTATTTATTAGACATATTGGATCTGATTCTGATTGAAAGAAAATAGCAGGAGATAAAGAGAGGATTTTTTGGATGGGCCTCTAAAAGCTAGCGTAATTCAATTACTGTATCAGAATCACTGCATATATTACTCTTTGTCTAAAATATCATACAACCCTTTGAACACACTTCAACAAATATTTGCTGACTACCTACCACTTGAAGTCACTTATCAGACATGTGAACTTAAATAAGACGGAATGCTGCTCTCTTTGTTTTTGTGCAAATTCTGTATCCTCAGGGAACCATTCATTTCCTGTTTTCTGCTCCTTTGTTTGATGTGGCCTTCATTTGTTGTTGCCATTAACCAATCTTTATGGGCTTTCTATATAAGGTAGACATTATCTTTTATAAATGTTTACTTGGTGAAATAATTTCAGATTAAATGCATAATAAACAAATACAGTTTATCATTGCCAGACACTCAGCTTAAGATTCTGCCATTTGAGTTCAATATGTCAACTTTGCAGAATATCACCTCCACTTCCATCATTTTCCTGCTCCCTGGTGTTCCTGGGCTGGAAGCCTTCCACACCTGGATCTCCATTCCCTTCTGCTTCCTCTATGTAACTGCCCTCTCAGGAAACAGCCTGATCCTCTTTGCCATCGTTACTCAGCCCAGCCTCCACGAACCCATGTATTATTTCCTCTCCATGCTGTCCACCACTGACCTCGGCCTGTCCATATCCACTCTGGTCACCATTCTGGGTATATTCTGCTTCAATGTGAGGGAAATCAGCTTTAATGCCCGCTTGTCCCAGATGTTCTTTCTTCAACTCTTCACTGTCATGGAATCTTCAGTGCTGTTGGCCATGGCTTTTGATCGTTTTGTGGCCATTACTAATCCTCTTAGATATGCTTCTGTCTTAACTGATCTTAAAATAGCACAGATTTGAGTAGCAATTATCACCAGGGGAACAATAACACTGACTCCTATGGTGTTGCTTCTTAAAAGACTGTCCTACTGCTGCAGCCACGTGCTCCACCACTCCTATTGCTTTTACCCTGATGTGATGAAGCTCTCATGCACAGACACCAGGATCAACAGTGCAGTTGGGCTGACTGCCCTGATTACCACTGCTGGGGCAGATTCTGTCTTTATTGTCCTGTCTTATATTTTGATCATTAAGACTGTTCTCAGCATTGCTTCCCCGGAAGAAAGGAAGAAAGCCTTCAGCACATGTATCTCCCATATTGGGGCTGTTGCTGTATTTTACATTCCATTGATCACTCTGTCCTTTGTTCACAGGTTTGGGAAGCAGGCCCCACCCTATGTGCATACTTTGATTGCCAATGCCTACCTACTAATCCCTCCTGTAATGAACCCCATCATCTACAGTGTGAAGACCAAACAGATACGCTAGGCTGTGCTAAAAGTACTCCATTGTAGCACGGCAAAGAACTAGATGAACCTTTCAATTTTTTCTAGTCTTTGTCATTTTATAGATGAGTAAAATGCCATTCAGAGAGGTTAATATGTTTAGACTCAGGCTTGTATTTAAAGTTTCCCAAAATACAACTTAGTTTGAAGTAAGAAGACTGTGAACTCAGAGAGATTAATATGAGCTGAAGATTCTCAAGGATACCATTCTTTTCCTTTGATAGTCATGATGATAATAAGAACATTTGTACATTTGAGATGAATCATTTTCAAAGACTTTGTTAACTAATGGTGCAGCTTAGTTTGCAAATGCGGTATTATTTTGTTTTAAAAAAATAGAAAAAGAGAAAGTGTCTACTTATTATTTAAACTTCTCCCTTAAAGAGATAAGTAACATCACGCTGCTCTCAAATGGGAATAAAAAGTGCATTAACAATTTCAAATTACTGAATCTTATAAACGAAATTTACCATAGACAGCTTGCCGTGTCCATGGTTACTCAATTGTTCCAAATATTTTTACTTTCCTTTGCCTCTGGCCTCCTTGACCTCCACATTTAACAGCTAGTATAATAAATAAATATTTTATTGCATTGTCAGTAACCGAACTGTATTTGGTCAAATATTCATACTTTCTCCCAGCTCTTCAGGGAAGATGTCGAGCATAAGCATTCTGTGAAATACAACTATGCTTAATTCAACTCCAATCTGTATAGTTTCTTCAGAAGTAGTAATGTCATGCTTATTGCTAAACAAGCGTGTTCCTGCTTTTGGGAAATACCATCTTCAAATAAATTAATTTTCTGTAAGGCCTCAAGGTTAACAAGAAGCAAATACAGAAATATTTTAATCTGGTGGGATTTATAATGCTATGCTTGGACCTTATCCTCAAGGAAAGTTGAAGTGGATATGCTATTCGGGTCTAGATTGAAAAATAGAAATCACACCAGTGACTAACACAGGAAGCATTTAGTACAAAGAACTGGATAAACAGGTATTAGAGGACTGAAAGGGAAAAAAAGGAACACAGGAATAATGCAGGGATAATAACTACAGGAAGTTTCCTCTACTTATATGACCTTGGGAACAAAGAGAAGAGTTTGGGCTTATTAAAAACTATGATTTTGGTGGAGAGTTCCCCCAAGAGCTTATATTCTGACCTATAATGAGAGGGAGCTGCTCTTTTGGTTCTGGTACCTTAGGAGTTCAAAGGATGGAGAACATGAGGCCAAGAGCCAACCTTGCAGGAAAGGGGACTTCCCCGCTCGCTATAGCTCATGCCTCAGGAACACCACAGAAAGACCTCTCGTGGAGTTGAGACTTAGGTCCCTGAATACAGCCCACTGATGGTTGATTCTATTTCTTCTGAGGGGCATGATGAGATTATTGCTGGAAGTGTGGGAAAAAATAAAACTAGAAACTGGAACCAATGCATCTGGGCAAAGAACTATTGCTGTGATGGCACTGATAGGGACAACAAGCAAACATGATAGACATATTTGTCCCTACAGCAGCTTCCGGTGTCCTAGCCTCCCCCAATTAATGGACCATAGCAGGGAACCAAACAATTATTCTGATTCATGAGTTGCAGCCTTCTTATCAAAAGCAGAGTCTATAGAATGGTGGATTTGGAGCTGAGAAAGCCAATAGCCACCACAATGGAGTAAGGTGCTTGTAACGCAAGCTCAATATGGTCATGATAGGGGTTTTATTAGGTACTCCATCCTGGACTGCTGTTAATAACAGCAGTAACTAATAACTACAGCCAGCTAAATGCTTTCACAGTTCACCAAGTATCATTACATACAATCTTCTGAAAGCATGCTAGTTGACAATTTTGGGGTATTTCTTGGGGATGTTTTCTCTCCTTTCTACCAAATATCTACTTCTCCTAGGACATGCCCCCTCTCTCCTCCACCACTTCAGGTCTCCTGTGCAATGGCCAGCAACAGAGTTTCAAGTTGTGTCTGAGTCAATGGCTGTTTTGGAGCTTACTGGCTTTCAAGGACTCTTTGTCTTATCTCTCATCTTTCCAATTGCTCTCATGTCTGTTCATGAGTGGATTTTTTTCCCAAAGACAGAGAATATGGCATATCTATTTTTAGGTGATATATTTTGACTGGAAACTTGTGCTCATTATTTTCACTGTCATCTTAATATCCAGTTCTAGTGTCTATTATTTTGTGCTTTTCTTCATGCTTCAGGGTGTTGACCAAAATGGACTGCATCATCAGGTTCTCTTGTGAGCTGACTTGGGGTTGGGTTCACAAAACCAAAGGCACCAGAAGGAGAATGTAGAGTTGGAGGAGACATTCTGCTTTGACAATGTTTCGTCCTCCTGCTTTGGCCCCTGGAATCATAATGGTTTCTCACTATCACCAGTCTCCAGGCATCTCAGCATCCCTTGTGATACTGTTTGGATCTCTGTCCCGACCCAAATCTCATGTTGAAATGTAATCCCCAATGGGTCACATCTTCCTTTTGCTCCAACCGTGTGAAGTGCATTGTTCTCACTTTGCCTTCTGCCATGATTGAAAGCTTCCTGAGGCCTCCCCAGAAGCAGAAGTCGCTATACTTCTTGCATAGCCTGCAAAACTGTGAGCCAGTTAAACCTCTTTTCTTTATAAGTTACCCAGTCTCAGGTATTTATTTATAGCAGTGTGAGAATGGACTAACACACCTTGTTTGTTTCCTAAGCCATGTCCATTATTCTATAATTCATTTTTTCACTGGCATCTCTCACTTTAAATTATTCTGAATTTTGTTTATTTCCTGCTGATTTTGTGACTGATACATATCTCTTTAATGAGCAAAGATAATGACTCCTTGATCTTAATAGGTCTACTTTTACTTAATCTTAAATACTTTTTGAGTTTGAAATGCATTTAATAGATGCCAATTGGTTTTTCACCACCTAAGGCGTGAAGTAATTACTTTTTTTTTTTTTTTTTTTTTTGGCAGGGTTAGCTGAGGATTTATTTAGGACAGGAAAAAAAAAAAAGCAATTGAATTGTTTTGTAGCTGGAGGCACGGGCAAGGGGTGTCCTCAGGCACTAAACTCCCCCGTGGGTGGGCTGAGGGCTAGGGCTGAGCCTCAGGTGGGTCCCCTGTTCCCTGTGCTACCCTGCACAGTGGCCTCCCTCCTGTGCTTTCCCGCAGCCGCAGGAGGGGCAGGCTGGGAGGGGCTGCCACAGCTGTTCACTTGGGCAGGACGTCAGAGGACTCGGACACCAGCTTCCCTTCGTGGGTCTCGATATTCTTCACAACCACGGCCCTGGTGGAGCTGGTGTGGCTGAAGGAGCTGGAGCCGCGCCAGAGCCAAAGCTGGAGCCCAGGCCATAGCTGAGGCCAGGGCTTGTGAGGCCCCCATAGGCCGAGCTTAGACCACCTGCATAGACACTGGTGGTCTTTGTATGGATACTCATGTTCTGCATCCCAGACTCCAGCCGGCTCTCCTCGCCATCCAGCAGCTTCCTGTAGGTGGCGATCTCGATATCCAGGGCCAGTTTGACTTTCATCAGCTCCTGGTACCCATGCAGCTGTCACGGCATGTTCTGCTTGGCCCGCTGCAGGGCGGCCTCCAGCTCGGACAGCTTGGAGTTGGCATCCTTAATGGCCAGCTCCCCACGCTGCTCGGCATCTGCGATGGCGGCCTCCAGGGAAGCCCTCTGGCCTTTGAGGCCCTCAATCTCAGCCTGGAGCCGGCTGATGTTCCAGTTCATCTTGCAGATCTCAGTCTTGTGCGCTGCGGGTCATCCTCCTGCTTCCCAGCCAGCATCTGCAGCTCCTCATACTTGATCTGGTGCATGCTCTCAGCCTCCGCCCGGCTGCGGTTGGAGATCACCTTGTACTGCGCCTTGACCTCAGCGATAGTGTTGTCCATGTCCAGGGAGCGGCTGCTGTCCATGGACAGCACCACAGATGTGTCCGAAATCTGGGACTGCAGCTCTGGGATCTCCTCTTCATACAGCTGCCTGAGGAAGTTGATCTCGTCAGTCAGCCCTTCCAGGAGAGACTCCAGCTCTACCTTGTTCATGTTAGCTTCATCCACATCCTTCTTGATGAGGACAAATTCATTCTCCAGCTCTGCACACTTATTGATCTCATCCTCATACTTGTTCTTGCAGTTCTCCATCAGCCCTTGCATGTTGCCAAGCTTCAGCTTCTCCTGGCCCAGAGTGTCCAGTTGCCGCCTAAGGTTGTTGATGTAGCTCTCGAACATGTTGTCCATGTTGCTCCGAGCTGTCTTCTGCTGCTGCAGGAGGCTCCACTTGGTCTCCAGCATCTTGTTATGCTGCTCCAGGAACCGTACCTTGTCTATGAAGGAGGCAAACTAGCTGTTGAGGGTCTTGATCTGCTCCTTCTCCTGGGTGCGCATGGCCTGGATGTTGGGATCTACCTCCAGGTTAAGGGGACTCAGCAGGTTCTGGTTGACTGTGTCAGTGGTGATGCCTCCCATGCCGCTGGACCCACCATAACCTCCACCCAGGCTACCCCGGAAGCTGCTGGTACCACTGGGGAAAAGCTTGAGGAGCTGATGCAGGCACCAGGTCCACTCGTGTAGGAGCGGCTGCTGAAGTCCTGGGGGGCTAGAGGTGGACACCTCGTAGGACTTCTGGGTTACCCTGATGGACATGGTAGAGGCAGGAGTGGAGGCAGGCGATGGGCCTGTGAACCAGGTGGATGGGCCTTTGATCTAGGTCTTATTACCATAAGTCTTGCTTCTGCCAGCATTTAAAACCCCAGGAAAAGCAGGATTTTCTCTATACTCTTCAGGGCCTGAAAACAGAAGTGGAAGATGGGGTGGACTTGTGACCTCCTGGTTAGATGACTTGTAGGGATCTGGACACAAAGCCTTGTACATTTTCTCTGGCCTAAATAGCATAGACAGCTAAAGTTTCAGACTAAAAGGAGAGAGGCTTCAGTTCTGCAGTAGTATTGTTCTTTTGACCTTAGTTTACATTAAAAACATAAAAGAATCAATTTACTATTTCCCTTGTGAAACGCAAGGATTAGAAATTTGCCTTTCTAATGGTTTGGAAGCAAAAATTATACCCCAATATTTTGGAGAATATAAAATCTAAAGATAAGGTTGCTATGGTTCCTACACAAAAATCCCAGAAAGGGATATGAGGTGGTAGGAGAAAGTTTTTGTATAAATGAATCCAATAGAACAACTTCGTTTATTGCTATAATACAATGTTAACATTGAATTTTTCCTTCCTAGTTATGGCTGAGACAGAAAAATCGCAGATGCTAAATTCCAAAGTGAGTTGTCAGACTATCAAGGAAAACAGGTCAGGTGACAATGAGAATACACAATTCACTAAAGAATTAAAAAAGTTATTATAGACTGATATGGTTTGGATCTGTGTTCCTGCCTAAATCTCACAATGAATTGTAATCCCTATTGTTGGAGGTGGGGCCTGGTGGAAGGTGATTGGATCACAGGGACAGTTTCTCATGGCTTAACACCATCCCTCTTGGTGCTGTTTTTGCATAGTGATTTCTCGTGAGATCTGGTCGTTTAGGAGTGTATGGCACCTCCCCCTTGCTCCTTCTTCAGCCATGTGAAGTGTTGTTCCCTTTTGCCTTCTGCCATGACTGTAAGTTTCCTGAGGCCTGCCCAGCACCATGCTTCCTGTAGAACCTGCAGAACCATGACATAATTAAACCTCCTTCTTTATAAATTACCCAGTCTCAGGTATTTATAGCAGTGTGAGAACTGACTAATACATAGACATAAAGATAACAGCCTAAAAAGTGAAATTTGAGACTGTTTTTTTTCCTACTAATCTGCATGCCCAAAGAGGAAATAGAGGAACGCATATATAACAGTCTTCTTGGCATCTTAAAATTGCAAATGTCTTTTTACATACCCTAATGGTGAGCTAGCTTAGTGTCTTAAGCAAGAGGCAAATGGTGTCTTTGCAAGAACTGCCAGCTTTTGTTGTCAGAGCCTTGTTTGTTGAGAATTTCTTTTCTTTTTCTTTCTCTGATGTCAGAAAATTGTGATATAGAGGTAGTATGGACACAGTATCTTATGACATAGAAGGTGCTGTTAAATGGGGGTTCTCATCATAAGACTTGTGAAGAGGACCACTTTAGAGAAAGCTGTGTTAAGATTTTATTCACTCTCTCATCAGGTGTTTGAGCAGAGATATAATGGCTCCCTTCAGAGAGATCTGAGGTGGACAGTGAGTGCACTGATGACTGACTCCCTTTGAGAAACCTGAAGATCAGAAAAAGGGAGAGTTTCTGTGGTGGTAGAGTAAAAAGAATTGCAGTTTCTTATATAGGGTCCATACTACTCTCACAAATCTGCTTGTGCAAGACTACCTGAGTGTGTCCTGTGGACCAGAAGTACACTGTGTGCATGTGAGAGAGCCAGTAAGAAGGTCCTCTTAGATGATGTCCAGTAGGGCTGTCTGCAGGCACAGTAAAGCCTCAACAGAAGAGAACTGGAGGTAACCTCTGGGCTGCAGAAAGAAATAGAGCACATTCACCAGACCAAAAGAACCTCTGGTGAGAAACCAGTAGTTTGTTGGGAGACTTTGATGAACTCACAAAAGAAGTCCAAGAGAAGCCCCCCAAACCACTAAGCTTAGCAAATATGAAAACATCTTATGACAATATCGAATAAATAAGAATTTTACTAGGCCGGGCATGGTGGCTCACACCTGTAATCCCAGCACTTTGGGAGACCGAGGAGAATGGATCACTTGAGGTCCAGCCTGGCCAACATGGTGAAACTCAGGCTCTACTAAAAATACAAAATTAGCCAGGTGTGGTGGCATGTGCCTGTAGTCCCAGCTACTCGAAGGCTGAGGCACGAGAATCACTCGAACCCGGGAGACGGAGGTTGAAATGAGCCGAGATCACGCCACCGCACTCCAGCCTGGGAGACAAGAGTGCAACTTCATTAAAAAAAAAAAAATTACCATTGGTTTTATTTTCTTTTCCTTTTAGTTTTGACCTTGACAGCATTAAAATAATAGCTAGTAAGATATGAGTGTGTGAAAGAGAAGCGAAGCCAATGAAGCTTCTCTCTAGATGTCCTGAGGACTACTTGTAGCCAGCTTTAGCTCAGATAGCAGAGAGGAGTATTATTTTTGAATGAAGATGCAAGTGTTGACTAATTTATTTCTAAATTGAAAGTGTGTTTTATAACTTTAAGTAGGACTTTTTGGCCCAGGGTGGTGCTTCACGCTTGTAATCCCAGCACTTTGGGAGGCCAAGGTGGGAGGATCGCTTCAGGCCAGGAGTTTGAGACTAGCCTAAGCAGTATACTGAGATCTGATCTCTACAAAAAAGTTAAAAAATTAGCCAGGCATGATAGGGCTTACACCTGTAGCCCTAGCTACTCAGGAGGCTGAGGCAGGAGGTTCAGGATTGCTTGAGGCCAGGAATTTGAGGTTGCCGTGAACTATGATTATGCCATTGCACTCCATCCTGGGTGAAGACCGGGACCCTGTCTCTAAAACAAAACAAAACAAAAAACAAAAATCCGTAAAAAACAAGTAAGACTTTCTATTTTCTATGATAAGAAAAAACTTACATTGCTTGTCAACATTTTTATCCAAGGGTAAGAAAAAAATGTTTTCCACTGAGTAGCTATAAAAGGAGTGAGGGTTAAAAAACAAATAAGAAAATAAAAACAAAAACAAAAACTCCATTTGCTTTAAAGGTAACATCCCATGCATACTGTTTGTTCATCAACTTTAGTTACGTTATAAAAGACAATCAGTATCACTTCTTTCTTTCAATCAGATGATTTAGAAGGAGATATTGCTCACTGGACATCACATGGTCTGTTTAATAGCATTTGCTAAAATGTTTGCTTACAGTCATCAAACATTTATAAATAGCAAATATAAAAATTTTATTATTTAAAAAGAAATTTTTATGGCCATATTTGAAAAAAATCTGTATTTTTTAAAATGTTTGGTTTAGTACAAGGTACATGACAATCCTAATAAAAAAAAATACTTGGCTGGGCACGGTGGCTCATGCCTGTTATCCCAGCAGTTTGGAAGGCCGAGGCGGGTGGATCACCTGAGGTCAGGAGTTCGAGACCAGCCTGGTCAACATGGTGAAAATCCGTCTCTAATAAAAATACAAAAATCAGTCAGGCATGGTGGCGGGCGCCTGTAATCCCAGCTACTTGGAGGCTGAGGTGAGAGAATTGCTTGAACCCGGGAGGTGGAGATTGCAGTGAGCTGAGATCGTGCCATTGCACTCCATCCTGGGCAACAGAGCAAGACTGTGTCTCAAAACAAAAAACAAAAAACAAACAAACAAAAATCTTCTCTCTTCAGAGTTAGTAGTAATCAAGAAGTCATAGAACAAAATAATGAGCTGTCATTATCCAACTATTAAATTAGAAAATATTTAAGTAAAAATGTCACAACACTGCTGAGTGTAAGTGAGCAGAATATACTCATGATCAGTTATTGGGAGTATAATTGGTACAGTTCTCCTGAGAAGTAAAATTTTAAAAACAAGGTATGTATTAGGAGGTCTAAATTATTAACTTGTAAAATTCAGTAATTTGAATTAAAATGATATATTCAAGGAAAAATAAGATATGAAAAAGTTATTAATAAAGATGCTAGTCACAATTGGATTTTCACATGGCATGAAAAATTGGAAAGGACCTGAGTAATTTAACATAGGGAAATGGTTCCTTGTTAAACATTATATTATAATCCAAGAAGAAATTAAAACTTACACATATTAATCTTGTCTTCATAATGAAGGCATGATTTCCATAGCTTTCCAGAGTACTGGGTACTGACAGCTTATAGCTGAGTCCCTCTCTAGAAATTGCCCTCGGACCAGTGGAGTTGCCACACCCAAGTTTACTATGGGACTTATCCAGTGACTGATCAGTAGAGGAGTACAGAGGCCTTGTCCCCCTTGCCTAGACAACTCTGAAGGGCCATTTCAGCCCTGGAGTGCCCATGGGACTTGTGGCCTCTGTTATAAGTGTGAGAGAATTCAGATCCCCTTTTGCCCAGTCAGGCCTCCCTTCTATTATGGATGCTATTTTAAAAAGGATACTTTAATTAGTTTTCTGCATACAAATCTCTATTTCAGAATTTTTTTCTGACAAATATGATCTAAGGCAAAATATTGCCTTTTGTCCCCTCTTAATAGTCTTCCCCTTTTTTTCTTAGGAGGTGCTTGCTAGAGGTAAACACTATTCTGAAAGTGGTAAGCATCATTCCTTTTAAAGTCTTTAAATTTTTCTTGAATATATACACCTGCACATACACAAACATACACACAGAGCACATGGAATTGTTTAGAAATTTTAAAATCAAGTAAATGCATTCTATTTTACATATTCAATATTCAATGTGCATTTTGCTTTATTAACTAAATCTATTTTGAGATCATGCACGTTGATGTATATAATATTTATATAATTATATATGGTTTAAAAACTTGTGTGTAGTATTTTATGTTAGAAAAATACTACATGCTTTGCATAAAAAATCATCTCCCTAGTCACAGACATTTAAATTGTTCCAATTTTTTGCCATGACTAAAAAAATTAAATATTTTTCATTAAATATTAAATATTAAATATTTTTATCCAAAGCTTTAAAAATTGTACCATAAGCATCTTCCTAGTTCATATGTAAGTTAAATTGTTGGGCGATACAATGTAAAAGTCAGAGTTTAAGCAGAAAATTAGAAGCCACTACAAATATTTTCAAAGGATGTTTTTACTTATGTGATGGAGAATCCTGACAGCCAAGCAGGTGATGGTGAGGTAACCTGATTGCAGCAAGCTACTACATCCTCATGGCTGGAATCTCCTTGGTGTTATTGGAGCTCAGGAGCTGTGACACCCTGACAGAAGGTGGAAATGTGGAGAAAATGCAACACTGCCAGAGAAGCTGCCCCAGACAGAGAGGGGCAGGAAGAAACTTCTTAACTCCTTGCCTCACCTTCAGACTTAACTAGTTTCTCCCATGGGCCAAACCCAACTAGAATACGGTTAACATGGAAGGCTGAGATAGCTAGCCTGCAAGGTTCAGCTCCTTGGAGGTATTGAGCAGAGTAAAATAGGGGAAATAAACGGATTTGAGGGCAAACATGTTCAAGATAATCACAGTCCATTCTTTTTGCTATTCATCAAATATATTTAATGACTTCATGATTTAACCTAACAGGTGTGAGCATATATATATATATAACATAACTTTCCTTTTCTCTGTCAAAAGTGCAAATGAGAAAGCCTCTCATTGAGTTCATTGCAAATCCAGGAAGCCCAAGTGGTAAACAATTCTCCCAATCTGATCAGGCATGGATTTTTGTGGTCTGATGACCTACGTGATGCATCGTAAAGTTAAGTAATATCTGCACTCCTCATACAAGGTAGTGAGGAAAGGGAAAATAACTGGCTAATATATTTGCATTAAAATGCATAGATAATACAGCCCTCATTTTTGTAGCTGGTCATGAGACAATGTTTTACATTTATCGTTTTCTTTAAGCCCGCTAAACTAATACACATCACCTTTTCTTTAGCTTTCACTTTGACTGGTGGTTTACCCAAATTTTTATTCCCCAAAGGACTGTGTTCCCATTGGTCTTTCCCTTATTGGGTTGCTTTAATATTTCCTTTGCCTTTACTATTAGATATGGGACATACGAGGTGCCCCAGTGAAACCTCTGAGTTCCAGATATAGTCTTAACTTCCCCTGTGGGATAGGTGCAACCTGATTTCTCCTTAAGTTTTGGAATCAGTATTGGAAGGGGATGACAGACATTAATAGCACCACTAAAGAGCCAGGATGCAGAGAAAGAATTTCTCATCACATCTCCTTTTATTTTAACACTTAGGTTTCTGGGAAAGAGAGAGAGAGAGAGAGAGAGAGAGCAAGCGAGCATTGAGAGTGATAGGTGACTACTGCATACTCAACCAAACAGGAGCCCTATTTGCTGCTGCTTTGTTAGATCAGATTAGCACAGCTTCCAATGCATGTTATGTGGCTATTGATATTTTTCCATTCATGAGATAAACTGAGGAATAGAAACAGTTTGCCTTTAGTCATAATGTACGATAGTATGCACTCAAGACTACGTTGTCTCTCTGGATCTCTATCACAATGCAGTCTGAGAGACCTGGAGCAGTAAGACATCCCTTAGAGAATCACACTGGTCCACCATACTGATGAGATTATGAAACCATACTAACCATATGAGATGACAAGAACTCCCAAGGATAGCTGGTAGACCCTACAAAGATGCTGCACCCTGCTACATCAGTAAAACTTTCAGTGGTCTGGTAGTCTGAGGTATGCTGGGACATCTCTTCCACAGCAAACGAAAAATATTGCATCTTTCATTTCCAAACACCACAAAGATGCACCATTCTTTATTATTTATTATTTATTTATTTATTTATTTTGAGATGGAGTTTCACTCTTTTTGCCCAGGCTGGAATGCAATGGTGCGATCTTGGTTCACTGCAGCCTCCACCTCCCAGGTTCAAGTGATTCTCCTGCCTCAGCCTCTCGAGTAGCTGGGATTACAGGCGTGCACCACCACTCCAGACTAATTTTGTATGTTTAGTAGAGATGAGGTTTCACTATGTTGGCCAGGCTGGTCTTGAACTCCTGACCTCAGGTGACCGCCTCAGCCTCCCAAAGTGCTGAGATTACAGGTGTGAGCCACTGTGCCTGGCCAGATGCACTATTTTCAGTAGGCCACTTTGGGTTTTAGAGATGGACACACTGAATCAGCTTCCCCACCACTCCCAACACACACACAATTTGGTGTGGCCTCGCTGACACTGAATTTTTCTTGAATGCCAAGAGGGCCCACAATCATTTCTTTCTTTTCTCCCATTAAATGTATAGCTCATTTGTGTAAGTTTTTTCAGTATGAAGATGAGAGCTCTAAGTATCCACTGGCATAAGGACTACGGCTAGCTAGGACATCTGGCACTGATCTGTCTGTACCCTGACATGTAAAGACAGTTGTCAGTGGCTTTGCTGTCCCTTACCCTCTCCTTCCACACTGATGTTTCTAGACGATAAGGAAAGGCACTATAAGATATGCCTACGTATATACCTCTGGTGTGGGGACATTTTCTATAATATTCTGAATTTAATGTTCTATTACTTAATCTAATGTTAAAGAGTTTTTGTGCATGTGTGCATGCACATGTGTGGGTTCATACATGTGGCTATTTCCTGTCAATTCATAGCCCACCAGAAATGATGTATTTAGGGATTCTTCGCTGTATTTAATATTTTGTGTTCATGTTTTTGTAGGTATTGTGTCTATTCACTATGGATGGATTTCCTTCTGTATTGTGGGGAAAGGATAAGATATCCTGTCATCGGGAGGCATGGTAGACTATTAGCTCTTTATCTGGGTATGGGGTTCTCTGTTCCTCCTGGATGTTGCCAGTGAGTTGAAGTGTAGACCTACCTTGGAGAAACCACCCACATTCATTCTTCCCACCTTGAGGCAAATATCTCTTTGTGTCCTAAAGGATGGCACAAATAGGCCAGGGTGGGGTTAGTGGAGCAGTAAAATGACTGGTCATTACAATGGAGTTTACCAATCCACACCTCAGAGACTGAACCATCCCATTGAATTGCTTCCACTTCTCGTTCGATATTCTCCTGTACATATTTTGGGCTGCAGTTTGTCTGTCAATGTTATTTCATCTTTTGTTGTATCTTTTTATGAATTCCCTATCTTTATGGATCACTGATTATAAGCTTACTTATATTCCAGGGAAACTGTGAATGTAATCTTTTTCTTCTTATTTTTATAGGCTAGGAATTAAAGATTACCTTCCTTATGGAATCTTTAATTCTTTTTTAATACAATAGTTTTTTGTGATACAATTCACATACATACAATTCATTCATTTAAAATGTAAAAATTAATGATGTTTAGTATATTCATGAAGTTTTGTGGCTGTACTTAATGTGTTACTTGTTCCAGCCTGGGCAAAAGAGCGAGACTCGTCTCAAAAAAAAAAAAAAAAAAAAGAAAATTTTCATGAACCCCAAGAGAAGCACCCTATCCAGAAGCAGTCGCACCTCATTGCTCTCCATCCCTCTCAGCCCTGAGCAATCACTAATCTACTTTTTGTCTCTATAGATTTGCCTATTCTGAAGATTTTATATAAATTGAATCATACAATATTGGGCATTTGTGACTGGCTTTTTTCATTTGGTGCACTGTTTTCAAGGTTTATACATTGTGTGGCAAGTATTAGTACTTCAGTCCTTTTTATAGCTGAATAAATATTCCATTGCATGGTTCCATCACATTTTGTATATTCATTTTTTAGTTGGTGGAAATTTGGGCGGCAGCGCCATTTGTTGAAAACACCATTCTTTCTTCATTGAGCTGTCTTGACACCCTGGTTAAAAATTAGCTGACAGGACACGTGAGTGTATATTTCTGGACTCTCAATTCCAGTTCACTGAGGGATATGTCTATCCTATGCCAGTACTATGTACTGTCTGGATAACAGCAGCTGTGTAATAAATTTTGATATTAGTAAGTATGCAACACCCAACTTTGCTCTTCTTTTTCAAGATTATTTTGGCTCTTCTGGAACCCTTAAAATTCCATATGTATTTTAGGACCAGCTTGACAATTTATGCAAAGAAGCAAGATTGAATTTTGATGTCGATTACATTACATTTGTAGACCAACTTGGAAATTGCAGCCATCTTAGCGAGATTAAGTCTTCAAATCCATGAATATGACATGTTGTTCCATTTACATTTATAACACGTTGTTCCAAGGTTAATTTATTTCAGCAATATTTTGGTGTATGATATTTTCAGTGTGAAAGTCTTATGCCTCTTTAATTGAATTTATTTCTAACTAATCTATTCTTTTTGATGCTATTGTAAATGGAATTTTTCTCTTAATTTCAGTTTTAGATTGTTCATTTTTAGTGTATGGAAATACAATTGCTTTTTTTATTTATCTCTTGTTCTGCAACTTGTCTGAACCCATTTATTAGTTTTAATATTTAGTAGATTAAAAAATTTAGTAGAAAATTCTTAGAATTTTCTATACAAAAGATGATGTCAATGCAAATAGAAATAGTTTTACCTTCCTCTTTCCCTGGATTTTATTTCCTTGCCTTGTCTAGCTGTTGTGGCTAGAACCTCCAGGGCAATGTTGAATAAAATGGATGAGAGTGGACATCCTTGTCTTTTTCATTATATTAGAGGGGAATATTCAGACTTTCTCCATTAAGGATCATATTACCTGTGGGTTTTTCATAAATGTCTATTATCAGTTGACGAAATTCCTTTTTGTTCTACATTGTTGAGTGTTGTTATCAAAAATGATAGTTGAATCTTGTCAAATGCTTCTTCTACACCTTTGAGATGATCATGTAGTTTTTGTTCTTTATCCTATTCATTGTTCTACAGCTTTTTTTCTAATGTTAAATCAACTTTGCATTCTTGGAATAAATTTCACTTAGTCATGGTGTATAATCCTTTTTATATGTTGCTGGATTTAGTTTGCTATATTTAATTGATGATGTTTTCATCTATATTCACAAGAAATCTTAACAATTTTCTTTTCCTATGATGTCTTTGCATAGTTTTGACATCATGATAAAATGGCTTCATAAAATGAGTTGGAATGTATTTACTCTTCTATTTTTGAAAGAGCTTATGAAGAATTGATATTAATTTTTCTTTAAGTGTTTAGTGAAATTTGCCACTGAATCATCTAGGTCCATGTTTTCCTTCTTGAGAAGTTTTACATTTACTAATTCACTTGTATCAAATAATTAACTTTGTTTTGTTGACTGTTGTTTTTTCTATTCTCTATTTCATTAATTTCTAATCTAAACATTCTTTTATTCCTTCTGCTTGATTTAGGTTTAGTTAGTTCTTCCTTTTTTTCCTCAATGTCTTAAAATGGAAGTTTAGGCTATTGATTTATTTCCTTTGGATAAAGGCATTTACAGCTGTACATTTTCCTATTTAAAGCGGTGTTTAGCTTCATCCCACAGGTTTTGGTACGCGGCGTCTTCACTTTCATTAATCTCACACCATTTTCTAATTCCCTTTGGGATTTTTTTTATGACCCGTGGGTTATTTAGGAATGTATTATTTAATTTTCACATATTTGTGAATTTGTAAATCTTTATTGTTAATTTCTAACTTAATTCCCCTGTGTCCCTTTCCTCTTGGACTTACACTCCTTTTATATAAGCAGGGCATAGGCAGAATAGCATCGCATAGCATATTTATATAAGCAGGGCATAGGCAGAATAGCATCGCATAGCATATTTTCAGCTTGTATCTCTTGGCATGAGTACTGCACCTTAGGATTGAGCTGGGGAAAGGGTGATGGGTCCCCAGTATTCTCTGACAGCTATGCCTGGCATACAGCTATGAGTGAGGGCTGGGTGGATGAAGGGAGTCACTGACCTCTTGGCTGCACTCACCTGGAGGTTAGCTTCTGCAATATGGAGCCGGGGTGAGACATATTGGTGGTCTGGACTGAGAACTGAGGAGGGTCTGGGGGAAGAAGGAGAAAGCCCTGTGTTCTTGGCTACGCCTACTTGGAGTGGAGCTATCAGCTATCAGTATGCCTAGCTGTGGGGAAGGGAAGGGCCAAAGCTGGCTTTAGTTCAAGCACCACAGAATCTCACTGTTTTCACAATGATTTAACACATTTTCTTGAATTGTTTTTCATTGACTATATGCCCTTAGAGCAATTTCCAGAGAATTTAAATGGTTATGTCTATATCACTATATATATGTGTGTGTGTATATATCTATATGGTTGTATAGCTATATATACAGATATACATGCGTGCATGTGTGTGTGTGTACCTCACTGTTTATGGATGTTCCCTCGAATAGTGTGTCCTCAGAGCTCCTCATGCTATCATTATAGAAATGGATCTCTCCCCTTACCTTATAGCTCAAACAACACATTGTGATGGTTCCCAGGCTGGATTTAACATTTGTCTTATATATTCTTATTACTCCTGTTGCCAGTATCTATATATCCTAACATATTACATAGTAATCAGATTTTGAATGGTTGTTTTTTAATCTATGTATTTCAAAAATTATAACAATATATTGTTTGTTTCTGCCACTCTGTAATATTGTTTAGCATCTCGCAATAGTAGACCCTCAGTAAATGAAAGAATGAATCAGTGGTGATTAAATTATATTTCAGAATAATAGACAATAGTTCTAATTTAATCAAAAAGTAAAAAACACTTAATAATTTTATTAGTTATATTTAAAAATCAAATAGAACAGAATATATGACTTATTGTTTTACATATAATTTCGGAGGTTTGGTCTCATGAAGAAAGTGCTCATTTCAGCCATTATTATTCATACTTCCAAACCTTTAGTAACATTTTCATAATATTAAGATATTTCATTGTTCATTCCTTAAGAGTAGATTAGTAGTAATTCTATTAAATATAAAGAATAAATTTCCACCAAACTGCATCCCCTATGCAACCTTCTACTTAAAAAAAATGTGAGGTCACTGATATAAGGGATTATTGATTAAACACTATGTCTTGGAGTTGATAAGAAGGGAGTAGATTTTATTTCAGAAGTATTAGAGTCACAACACAGATTCCTTGGGAAAAAGGATTTTTTTAATGGCCCTACGGATCTGCTTGGTTTTCACACTATAAATAATAGGATTCATCACTGGTGGAATAAGCAAATATGCATTGGCCATAAGAGTGTGGGCATAAGGAGGCGCTCTTTTCCCAAACCTATGGACAAAGCACAAACTAATGAGAGGGATGTAGAAAATGGCAACAGCACCTATGTAGGAGATACAAGTGCTAAAGACCTTATGCCGCTCCTCTGGGGAAGCAATGCTTAGGACGGTCTTAATAATCAGGATATAGGAGAGAAGAATAAAGATGGAGTCCACTCCTGCAGTAACTATGAGGGCAGTGAGTCCTAAAACACTGTTGATCTTATTGTCAGAACATGACAGCTGGATGATATCAGGATGGAAACAGTAGGAATGATGGAGCACATGACTTTGGCAGAAGGACATGTTTAAGAAGTAGGGCCAGAGGCAATAGGATCACGGTCCCCCTGACAAGGATGGCAAACCATACTTTGACGATCCTGGAATCAGTCAAGATGGTAGTATACCTCGGGGGGTTACAAATGGCAATGAAGCGATCAAAGGCCATTGCCAGAAGCACTGAGGACTCCATGACAGTAAAAAGTTGAATGAAGAACGTCTGGGCAACACAGGCGTGGAAACTGATCTGTCTTGCATTGAACCAGAATATGCCCAGCATAGTGACTAGTGTCGAAACACACAAGCCCAGGTCAGTGGTTGAGAGCATAGAGAGGAAATAGTACATAGGTTCGTGGAGACTGGACTCAGTGATGATGACAAATAGAATGACACCATTTCCAGAGAGAGCAGTTATGTAGAGACAGCAGAAGGGGATGGAGATCCAGGCATGAGCAACTTCTAGTCCTGGAACTCCAGTCAGGAAAAAGATCAGAGAAGAGGAAGTGATGTTAAGAAAAGATGACATGATTACTATGGAAGAATAATTCTGTTGCAATAAATGTCCTAGAATGAGAAATGATAAAACCATTCATCAGTTTTGTTATGATTTCTAATAACTGTAGTCAGATAAATCAAATTGGAGATTATTTTTAGGATTTTAACGTCTCCTTTCTACTTCCCAGTTTTGATATTTTTTTCCCTGCTGAGTTGAACTTCCTCTTCATGATTCTTGTTTCCTGATTCACAATACAGAATAGCACCTCTTTTTTTCAAAACCCAGAGGTGGCCAGGCACAGTGGCTCACGCCTGTAATCCCAGCACTTTGGGAGGCCGAGGTGGGTGGATCACCTGAGGTCGGGAGTTTGAGACCAGCCTGACCAACATGGAGAAACTCCGTCTCTACTAAAAATACAAAATTAGCCTGGCGTGGTGGTGCATGCCTGTAATCCCAGCTACTTGGGAGGCTGAGGCAGGAGAATCGCTTGAACCCGGGAGGCGGAGGTTGCGGTGAGCCGAGATCACGCCTTTGCACTCCAGCTTGGGCAACAAGAGTGAAACTCTGTCTGAAACAAAACAAAACAAACACAAACACAAAAACAAAAAAACCCAGGGGTACTTTTGGTCCCCTTTCACTTTGACCCTAAGTCAGTTTCTCCGTTCCTTTGTACTGTCCACACAAAGAGATCCAAAGTAAATTGAAAATACCGTAAGTTAATTGGGGAATTCAAAGTGGTATTCATTTTTAAAAGTAAAATTTATTATTTAAGAAAAATATACATGTATGTGAATATTTGTTTAAAAACTCTACTGCATGGTGCAATCATGGCTCACTGCTTTCTCAAACTCCTCTTGTCTCAGTTTCCTGAGTGGCTAGGACTACAGGCTCTAGTCACCATGCCCCACTATTTTTCGTTTGTTTGCTTTTTGTGGAGACTCAAACTCTTGGCCTCAAGTGATGCTCTTGCCTCAGCCTTTCAAGCAGTAGGACTACAGGTGTAAGCCACTAAGCCTGGCTGGGTTTTTTTTAAAACAAGAATTCCACTGATGGCCCACAGGAAAAAAATTCAGCTCCTGCTTTGGTATCTGTCCAAGGAGCATTCATGTTTGCCACCTTTCCTTCTTACCTCTCTTGCTGCCTCCCTTCCTGTGTCTGCTTCTGCAATTTGCTTTCTTTGCAAAGAAAGAAAATCAAGACAAATGAAGACAGGAGAGCCGGGCAGTTTTGTGCAGATGTGGGCATTAGAGGCTAGCCTGAGGAGGCAGGAGGACATGAAGCACCTTATTTTGCTTCTCATTCATAATGTGGTTTTGCAGATTCTTACTGGTTAAGACTGCCACCGTGAGAAAATATCTCATCAACCAGAAAAGTGAAGTTCTATCAGCTTAAGGGGTGTTTTCATCTGATGTTTAAATTTGTCCATCTACAGGGCCTTGTGATAAAGAAAAAAACTTCCAGATTTTATGAGCAGTTCTTGTCTCAGTAGTCAGAATTCTGCCACTAGGATTGTTTTGAAACAGTAATATATGTAAAAAAGAATTTGGCTTTTACCTCATCTAATTATGGAATTGTCAGCCTTTGGTCAATAATTACAGAAATAAATAGCCTTTTGTCCTGGGAATAAGTTATAATCAGTATTCATCTCTTCATTTTTTGTCACTTTTTTCTCTAATTATGTCATTTGAATTTTTGAAAGCGTTCCTTCTATAAAATTAAACTAACCTGCCTTAAGAAAAAAAAACCTCTATGATCATGGAACTTTATCATACATTATATATATGTAGCCTTTTAAGGAAATAATTTTATATAAAGAAATAATTCTATACAAGTCAAAATAGCCCATTTGCTATTGCTTGGTCAATGGATTTAACCCGTACCTTGCTAGAGTTTTTTCTAGTCTAGGTTTACACTTCTGATCTTGTTTCTTGATTTTCTTATCTGTTGTCACTATAGCTGAGTTGATATATAACTGTTGAAGAAAATTATCTGTCACACCACCTTTAGCAATTAGTCTTTTAAAAGCCAACTGTATTAAGCTTCAGGGATAGGAGTGAACTAGATACACAGAGGCCTGATATAAGACACTTCCCTTTCTAGCCCAATATTGTTGCAATTATTGCCACCCTTTGCTTACATACAAAACTCAGGACAGTAGGCTTTCAAAGTCTATCTTCATCAAGGTAAATAACACTTGAGCTTTTAACTCCACCGGGAAGTGGCATCTGAAATGAGTCTTATTGCCATGCAGGTGAGGTCCTAGGTGAGTTTTCTTCTCTTTCCTTTCTTCTTTTCCATGTTGACTTTATTCTTGTCATCTGGGACTCTTAGGTACTGGAAAATCTTGCTAAGACCCTCACTAAGCCAATCTGGTAGTGCTTTGAATATTAATGTTTTGTTCTTCTTGACCTCAAGAAGATGGGGCAATTTTCTCTAGACCTAGGCATTGGCTAGAATCCCACTGGTCATTCATGGACATTCAGAACTATGATGACTCCAACCACTTGATATGGAGAATATACTCATGCAGCTGTGTTATAGCCACACAATTTTACCTCCTTCACTAGTGAAATATTCTAGCTCCAAATCTTACTTTATGATACCTCTTAGGACTGCATGTTGTATTGTTGACTACTTTTTTTTTTATCTCTATCTACTATTGCTGTCCAGTCTCAGCTTTTACTCCTGCTCTTATAGGCCACTGAGAAGCTGGCATATTTTTCATCTAAGGCTGCTCAGTTTTGAATCAGCCACAAAATAGCCATATGTCTTTGGTCTTGCCATTTAATGTTAATAGTAAGAAGGGTTGACTTAGATAATCTCCATTTTTTTATTCAATGTAATTGCAGTTAAAAATGTCACAACAATAAGCTTGTGGGCATTATTTAATATCCTAAATATATGAAATATTATGGCAAAGGTCTCATATAGAAAATTTCAGGTATGGATTATAGTGAGTATGGAATAGCCACTTTGCTGATTATGAAGTGATTCTTGTTCCATTAACTGCATATTTGACGGAAGAGTATATTAACTAAAATAAAATCAGTTTATCATTCAGTTTCCTGACATCATTCCAAAATTAATATAAAAAATAAAAATAAGATCCTTATTCATCAGATAATTTTAGAAGAACATTTTAACAGTTATACATATTAGAAGAATAAAGTTACAATAAAAAATAATGCACTTATGGCTAGAACCATCAATAGAAATTTAAACTCATTTAATTTAAATAAAATAAATGACCAAGAAAGTTAATATTAAAAAACGGTGGTCATAGGCAGAAAAGTCACAGCAGGAGGATTTACAAAGAAATAATATTTTGGGGCTGGGGGCGGTGGCTCATGCCTGTAATCCCAGCACTTTGGGAGGCCAAGGCAGGCGGATCACAAGGTCAGGAGTTTGAGACCAGCCTGGCCAACATAGTGAAACCTCATCTCTACTAAAAATACAAAAAATTAGCTGGGCATGAGGGTGGGCGCCTGTAATCCCAACTACTCAGGAGGCCGAGGCAGGAGAATCTCTTGAACCCGTGAAGCAGAGGTTGCAGTGAGCCGAGATTGCACCACTGCACTCCAGCCTGGGCAACAAGAGTGAGACTCTGTCAAAAAAAAAAAAAAAAAGAAACTATATTTTGGCTTTGGACATCTCCTCCAAGACAACCTGGAACATTGAATTTAAATATCTTAATTCATACCATTTTAGAGTCATGTAGAGTCCTAGAATTTTATAACTGGAAAGTACCTTAGAGACATTTTAGTCCCTTCCACAGAATGACATTAATTTTATTACATGATATTCCAGTGGCCTAAAAGCATTGATTTTATTGGTCTTGTTCTTGCCAAGATGTATTGAAAGGACAATATTAGCTTTTGTTGCAATTGCTTTTGGCGTTTTCATCATGAAGTCTTTGCTTATGCCTGTCCTGAATGGTATTGCCTAGGTTTTCTTCTAGGGATTTTATGGCTTTGGGTTTTATATTTAAGTCTTTAATTCATCCCGAGTTAATTTTTGTATAAGGTGTAAGGAAAGGGTCCAGTTTCAGTTTTCTGCATATGGCTAGCCAGTTTTCCCAGCACCATTTGTTGATTAGGAGATTCTTTTCCCATTGCTTGTTTTTGTCAGTTTTGTGAAAGAGCAAATAGATGTAGATGTGTGGTGTTATTTCTGAGGTCTCAAAGATCTAGATCCAGCAATATCATTTGACCCAGCAATCCCATGACTGGGTTATACCTAAAGGAATATAAATCATTCTACTATAAAGACACATGCACATGTATGTTTATTGCAGCACTGTTTACAATAGCAAAGTCATGTAACCAACCCAAATGCCCATCAGTGATATACTGGGTAAAGAAAATATGGTACATATACCATGCATACTATGCAGTCAATAAAAGGAATGAGATCATGTCCTTTGCAGGGACATGGATGAAGCTGGAAGCCATCATCCTCAGCACACTACTACAGGAACAGAAAACCAAACACCACATGTTCTCGCTCATAAGTGGGAGTTGAACAATGAGAACACATGGACACAGGGAGGGGAACAACACACATGAGGCCTGTTGGGGGTGGGTGGGGGAGGGGAGGGAACTTAGAGGATAGGTCAATAGGTGAAGCAAACCACCATAGCACACGTATTCCTATGTGACAAACCGGCACATTCTGCACATGTATCCTGGAACTTAAAGTAAAATAGAAATTAAAACAACAACAACAACAACAAACCAAAAACAACAAGAAAAAGAAATTACAATAATGGGTGCATAAAGAAAAAAGGGACGCTTGGAAGTTACAAAATGTATAATCAGCCAGAAAAAGAGAAGGCTAAGAACAAACATATGGCTATGTTCAAATGGTTGAATGTTGCTTTACTGGAAAGTAATTACATTTGATCTGTGCGCCATACAGAGGACAAAACTAGAGCCAGCAAGAGGGAGACTGTGAGATAGTACTTCTAAGAAACCCTGCTCTAACGCACAGCATGAGCCAGAAATGGAGCAGTGGTGAGTTTCCAATGCTATGTGACAAAACAGTCACTTTAATCCAAGCACAAATACTGAAAATCAGACAGATACATTCAGTAATTCAGCAAATATGTACTGTACATCTACTGTGGACAAGGCATAGGAAATTAAATGTTAATCACAACAAAGTCCCTGACCTCATCATGAGTAGTTGACTAGAGGACAAAGACAAGTATAGTGGAATTATAGTGTGGATAGTAAATTTGGAATGCTACGACAGCACATAAAGAGGGAAACAAGCTCCTTTTGCGGAATAAGGAATGGTTTCCAGCAAATAATGGTGTCTAGACTGAGACCTAAGTTCCAAGTATAGTTGGAAAAACGTGGGCATGAGGGGAGGGGTATGATGGTTAATTTCATGTGTCAACTTGACTGGGTCGCCGGATGCCTAGATATATGATTAAACATTATTTCTGGGTATGTCTGGGAAGGTTTTTCCAGAAGAGATTAGCATTTGAATTGGTGGACTGAGTAAAGCAGATGGCCTTCCTCAATTTTTATATATATATATGAAATTCAGTTGGTTCTCTTTTCTTGGAGAATCTTGGGTAATATAGTTTGAAAGAAGAGGAGGTGTTTGATATTTAATAGTAACAAAAACTTTGGAACCAAAGGGCTAACTTAGAATATTGCCGATGCTCTTTATTCATTGGTAAATTGGAGATGATAATAGTTATAACTACTTTGCAAGGTAGTTGAAACCTACCATTGATAGAATCCTACAATGTGTCAGGCCTGGTACTATGTGGTTTATGTGAATTATTTCATTGAATTTAAAATTCATATACTTATAAGATTACAGGGTATTAGCCATGCAAGATAAAAAATTAGAGAGGTTAAATAATTTGCACTCTTTCATCTATTGAAAAAGCTGGATTTTAATTCCATCCGTGTAAATTTAAAATTTGTTAAAAGCTCCATTATGCTACACATCAATGCTTTTCTATGGTGGTGAAAATTAGTGGAATAATTAATTTTTATTAATAATTTTAATAAAAAATAAACTATAGTGTTACACATGTATGTGAATTATTAAAAAGGCAAGTGTTTATGTGATTTTCTTTTCCCTCAACAGCTGTATACTGTCACTGTCCCCTGGCTCTTCATAGTCATATAAATGCACAGGCATCAGGTTTTCAAACACTTGACACTTGATAGGCTTATTTTTCTCTTCCTGATGTTTGTTACTCTATTTAAAACTCATTTTCTTGTCAATATTCAGGAGAATTGAAAAGCAATTATTTCCTTATGTGCTAAATTATGAAGACTATTGGTAAAATTGATTAGTTTCTATTATATAATAGGGGCTGTTAGTATTAAGGATTTGAGCTATGGATACTTAGATTAGCTTTGCTCATTTTCATAGACACTGCTAACATATGTAACCTAAGTTAACTGACATGTCCATCTTTTCCTTATCAGCCTGGCATGAATGTCCTAATCTCTTTAGGGAAATTAATGTCTATTATTACAAATGATACAATACCATTCCCACTACTAGAGAAATAATTAAAAACTTAAACCCTATTAATGATAAATCACTGTAATATTTGGACAAATTACTTCTTTTTGAGACTCAGCACTGCACTTCCAGGCATATGACCCCAGATTTCCCATATTGTTTGATTCTGCTTAAATAATCACATTATTTTAACAACAGAATTATACGTTAATGAGTCAAATTCAATTTTTGGACTACTCGGGTTTGTTTGTTTTTTGAAACAGGGTCTCACAGTGTCATCTAGGCTGGAGTGTATTGGCACGATCATAGCTCACTGCAGCCTTGACCTCCTGGGCTCAAGTGATACTCCCGCCTCAACCTCCTGAGCAGGTAGGATCACAGACTCACTCTACCTTACCACCTAATTTGTTTTTGTATTTTTTTTAGAGATAATGTGTTGCCCAGGCTGGTCTGAAACTCCTGGACTCAAGTGATCCTCCTGCCTTGGCCTCCAAAATGCTGGGATTAAAAGTGTGAGCCACCGTGCCTAGCAGGACTATTCTTACTCCCCATGTCTATTTCTACTCTTCAGGGATACTATAATTTAAATATTTTATCTTAGAAATCTCAACTAGGTTTCACACTGACCGTATTTCCTTGATTTTTTTCCAGAATTTTATTGTTTATGGACATTTTCAGAATGAAGGTTCAGCACATTAGAAAGAATCTCTAGTTTTTTAAAAAATTTAAGCTGCCTTAAATAATAAAATACTAGGACATTTCCTATTGTAAATTCTTAATTCAAAGGCAATTCAACAGCATTTTGTGTTTTTATGTCTGCTACAATTTTCTTTTAGAAATATATTCTCTTTTAAAGACAATTCTCTTCCTGCAAAATGAGTCAACATAAATCGTCTAACGTTAATGCATGACCATTGTCTCTTGGATGCCCCTGTACTTACATTCAGTGAAGAGGATGAGGAAGAGGCAGGGCTCTGAGGTCCAATTCAGCTCCCAGAATAGAGGATATTTATGAGGAACTCAGCCCTATGAGGATCATTTACCTCGCCCCACAAAAAAACTTATTCTTAAGGGATCTTTCTGATAAATTGTATTTGCTTGTTTTGCCTTTGTGCTTTGGAGTCATTCTGCATGCCCAAATCTACTTATTCTCCCGTGTGGTTTCTTTTCTTCTTTAAAAAAATTTTATTAGATTTATTAAGGGACAATTGCTAAAAATTATATATATGTGCAGTGTAGAGTGTGATGTTTTGATATACATATACATTGTGAAATGATTATCACAATGAAGGTTATTAACCTATCTATGACCTTCCATAATCACCTCTTCTTCTTTATATTTTGTGATAAGAAGATTTAATATGCAGTCTCTTATCAAAGACAGTATGCAATACAATATAATTAATATAGTCTCCATGCTATACATCAGATCTCCAGAATTTATTATACATAGTTTCATGTATTGCAATTACTGAGATGTTTCTTTTTTGACTTGCTATGACTTATTAAAATTCGATGTTATGAAAATTATAAATTTTGACTAATATAAAAAGTGTACACATATAGTTTTCTTACCTCCTTTGGGAAGGAAACCACTGAAGCCACTTGATATTCTTGGTTTCACACCCGGTTGTTCCACCAAAATAAATATTTTTCTTCCCCACAGACAAAGATCAAAACGAATATGTTTTAGATTTGGAATAATAAACAACAAAGAAATATACGGTTGCATTTGTAGCTCAGTGGCTTCCCAGACTGGCTGAGTATCAGGTATACTTTGGAAATCTTACTATAAATACAAATTCTCAGGCCTCATCCCAGAACTAGTAAAACAAAATATTCAGATGCTAGGGCCCAGAATCCTGCATTTTAATAGACTTTGTTAGATAAGTTTTAGGTTCACAGCAAAATTTAGCAGAAAGTACAGAATTCCCATATATGCCTCCCAGCGCCACATGCACATCCTACCCCTCCATAATATCTCCCAGTGGAGTGGTACATTTGTACGTTCGTCACTATCTATGAGGCAACATTGACAAGAAATTATCACCACTAATCCAGTTTAAATTATGGTTTACTGTTGGTGTTGTATGTTCTATGGATTTGATGCATGTGTAATGATACATACCTTCCATTGTAGTGTCATGCAGAATAGTTCCATTGCCCTAAAAAGTCCTCTGTGCTCTGTCTATTCTCCTATATCTCCCTCCCCACTCCTGGAAACCATTGATTTTTATAATATCTCCAAAGTTTTGCCTTTTCCAGGATGTCATATAGTTGGAGTTATACAGTATACAGTCCTTTCAAAATGTTTTTCCACCTAGTAGTAAGTATTTAAGTTTCTTTAATGTCTTTTCATGGCTTGATAGCTAATTTTAATGCCGAATAATATTCCCTGGTAGAGATGTATCAGGAATCCAAATTTTTAACAAGATCCTCAAGCAATAATTATGTGTTTGGCCTTGTACTATAGTTGTTATGTATTCAGACTATGGATTAACCTTTGGAAAACACTTCATAGACAAGTGATGCCATTATCAAAATTTGAATGCCAATTAAAATTTTCATAGTCAATCTTATGTTCCCATTGACTTGCATTATCATTTCGAGTATTTTCTCACATTATTAATTCTCACTTTTAGTGATTTCTATCATTTTAGTGTTCTTTCTTCCTATTTCTATGTCAAGTAGTTTTTGATTTTATACCATGGTTGCAGTAAAGTAGAATTACTGGTTAAAGTTCTTGTAATAGGAATTATCCAATAGTTGTGTTCTTTATTGAGATTTCTTGAAAGAAGGTAAATCTATATAGTAAATATTTTTTAAATTATATCTTTGCAAATTATATTCCTCACTAGGCATTAAGTATTCTTAAGGCAAGAAGCTAGTCTTGTTCATGTTTGTATTCTCAATATCCATCTCACTACTTGATTTACAGTAGGCGCTAAATACATGCTGTTGTTAAAGATGAATAAGAATATAAATTGGGGCCGGGCATGGTGGCTCACGCCTGTAATCCCAGTACTTTGGGAGGCTGGTGGGTGGATCACGAGGTCAGGAGTTTGAGACCAGCCGGGCCAACAAGGTGAAACCCCGTCTCTGCTAAAAATACAAAAATTAGCCGGGTTTGGTGGTGGGCACCTGTAATCCCAGTTACTCGGGAGGCAGAGGCAGGAGAATCACTTGAACCAGAGAGGTGGAGGTTGCAGTGAGCTGAGATTGTGCCATTGCACTCCAGCCTGGGCAACAAGAGTAAGTCTCTGTCACACACACACACACACACACACACACACACACACACACACACACAAAGGCTATACATTGGAATAATGTTCTTGGTCTCAGTTCTTAAGGCCACAAAACTTTGAGCTGGATGTTTAGTGTTGTAAAATGTGACACATTTTATCCTTATTTGTAAAAAATGAATGTTTGAAGTAGGGTAGGGTGAACCAGACTGCCAAATCCCAGGTCATTGATCCTGGCAATAAGCTAGAGTAATTGCGGTAGGGTTCTTAGTAACTGGTTGATGCAAGTGGACCCTGAGGAAGTAATCCTTAGATATAGCATTCTACAGCATTTCTATGTCTAAACGAAGTAGCAGTCAGAATGAGCTTACCAAATAGATATGACAGAGGTATAGAGAATTAGCCAGTAGGGTTTGAAACCACAGAGGGCTAATAGCTGGGAAAGTGTTGAACAGAAAATATGAAGGGACAGTGAGATCCATAGGAATTCTGGGTAATGAGCAAGTTTCTTTAGTTGGTTTTATGCAGTATTTAAATAACAGGAAAAGTGTCCTTAAGAAACTCTGTTACTATCTGAAATACAAAGGATAAAATTTGTTTTAAATTTTATTTTTCCATATCTATGCATATAAATATAAAAAGAAAGGATAAAAATCAAAACTGTGCAATGGTTACCTCTATAGAGAAGTCAGAAAGAGAGTGGGTTTGGGGGAATATAGCAAGGTAGATGTTGGCCTTTTCTAAAATATATTTCATTAATGAGAACTTTTTTTTGTATATTAATATTTCATTAAAAACCTTTTAAAGAGGTCTTTATGTTTTATGGAAAACAGAAGGAGGAAAAAGGTAAGATTGGAGACCTAGAGAACTCTAAGGAAACTGATTTAGGCAAAGGATTTTGATGCCTAAACTGAGACCAAAAGTGAAGATAAGATATTTTGGTGTTAAAATAGGCAACATAAGAAAACCTCTGGCATACAGCAAAAACAGTACTGAGAGAGAGTTTTATAGCATTAAATGCCTGCATCAAAAGAATAGAAAGATCACAAGTTAACCTAACATCATACATCAAGAAACTAGAAAAACAAGAACAAATGGAACCAAAGCTAGCAGGAGAAAATAAATTACAAAGATCTGAGCAGAACTAAATGGAATTAATACCAAAAGAACAATACAAACAATCAACAAAATTAAAAGGTGGTTCTTTGAAAAAATAAAAAAACTGATAGACAACTAGCTAGACTAACCAACAAAAGAAGAGAGGAAATTCAAATAAGTACACTCAGAAATGAAAAAGGAGACATTACAATTGATATCATAGAAATACAAAAGATCATCACAAACTACTATGAGCAACTCTACACTCACAAACTAGAAATCCTCAAGGAAATGAATACATTCCTGGAAATATAACCTCCAAAGACTGAACCAGAAAGAAATAGAAAACCGAACAGACTAATATCGATTAGTAAGATTGAATCAGTAATAAAAAATCTTACAAATAAGAAAAATCCAGAACCAGATGGATTAACAGCCAAATTCTACCAGACACAGAAAGAAGAGTTGGTACCAATCCAACTAAAACTGTTCCAAAAAATCAAGGAGGGGGGAATTACCCCTAACTCATTTTATGCAGACTGTATCACCAATACCAAAGCCAGGCATGTACACACATGAAAATAAAACTACAGATAAATATCCCTGATGAATATAGATGCAAAAATTCTTAACAAAATACTAGCAAACTGAATCAAACAGCACATCAAAAAAAAAAAAAAACACAACAATGAAGCGGGTTTTATTCCACAGATTCAAGGATGTCGCAACGTAGGCAAATCAGTAAGTATGATTCACCACATAAGCAGACTTTTTTTAAAAAAAATATGATCACGGCAATAGTTGCAGAATAAGCAATTGATAAAATTCAGCATGAGTTCGTGAAAAAAACCCTCAAGAAACTAGGCATAGAAGGAACATACCTGAAAATGATAAAAGCCACGTATGACAAACCTGCAGCCAACATCATATTGAATGGGGAAAAGTTGAAAACATTTTCTCTAAGAACTGAAACAAGGCAAGGATGCCTACTTTCACCACTTTTATTCAAAATAGTACTGGAAGTCCTAGTCAGAGCAATCAGGCAAGAGAAAAAATGAAATGCATCAAAATTGGAAAAGAGGAAATCAAATTATCTCTATTTGATGATGATATGATCATATACCTAGAAAATTCTAAAGACTCCACCAAAAGACTCCTAGATTTGATAAATACATTCAGTAAAGTTTCAGGATACAAAATCAACATACAAAAATCAGTAGCATTTCTAAATAACAATAGCTATCTAGCTGAGAACCAAATTAAGAACTCAACCTCATTTATAATAGCTACAAAGAATATGTAGGAATTCATTTAATCGAGGAGGTGAAAGATCTCTTCAAGGAAAACTACAAAATGCTGAGGAAAAAAATGTAGATGATACAAACAAATGGAAAAATATCCCATAATCATGGATCAAAAAATCAGGATTGTTAAAATGACCATACTGCCAAAGCAATCTGCAGATTCAATGTAATACCTAACAAATTACAAAAATCATTTTTTTCACAGAATTAAAAAAAAATCTAAAATTCTTATAAAAAAGGAGCCTGAATAGCCAAAAGAATCCTAAGCAAAAAGAACAAAGTTGTAGGCATCACATTACTTGACTTCAAATTGTACTACAAGGCTATAGTAAGCAAAAGAGCATAGTACTGGTATAAAAATAGACACATTGACCAATTAAACAGATTAGAGAACCCAGAAATAAAGCCACATATCTACAGCCGGCTGATCTGTGACAGTGTTGACAAAAACATACACTGGGGAAAGGACAGAAACCCTATTAAATAAATGGTGCTGGGAAAATTGGATTGCCAATATGCAGAATGAATCTGGACACCTATCTCTCACCATATACAAAATTTAACTCAAGATGGAATAAAGACTCAAATGTAAGACCTGAATTTATAAAAACACTAGAAGAAAAGCTAGGAAAAACTTTTATGGACATTTGCCTTGGCAAGGAGTTCATGACTAAGACCTCAAAAGCAAATGCAACAGAAACAAAAATAGATAAAGGGGACTTAATTAAACTATGAAGCTTCTGCCCAGCAAAAGAAATTAATCAACAGAGTGAACAGATAACTTGCAGAAGGGGAGAAAATATTTACCAATTGTGCATCTAACAAATGACTAATATTCAGAATCTACGAGGAATTCAAACATCTCAACAACAACCAATAACAAATAACTATTAAAACGTGGGCAAAGGACATTAACAGACAGTTTTCTAAAGAAGACATACAAATGGCCAACAAGCTTATGAAAATTGCTCAACACCACTAATCATCAGAGAAGTGCAGATTAAAACCACAATGGATACCTATCAGAAGGGCTATTATTAAAATGTCAAAAAATAACAGATGTTTGTGAGGATGTGGAGAAAAGAGAACATTTACACACTGTTGGTGGGAATGTAAATTACCAGTACCTCTATGGAAAACTACTTGGCTATTTCTCAAGGAACTAAAAATTGAACTACTATTTGAGCTGGCAATTCCACTACTGAGTAGTTTCCCAAGGGAACATAAATTATTATATATTTTTAAAACCTGTATTCATGTGTTTATCACAGTACTCTTCACAATAGTAAAATATGGAATAACTGTAAGTGTCCAACAGTGGATGACTGGATAAAGAAAACGTGGTGAGTGTATACCATGGAATCATACTCAGTCATAAAAAAGAATGAAGTGATGTTTTTTGCAGTAACATTGATGGGACTAGAGGACATTATCTTAAATGAAATAACTCAGAAACAGAAAGTAAAATACTGCATGTTCTCACTTATAAGTAGGGGATAAATAATGTGCACATATGGCCGTTTAGAGTGAAATAATAGACATTGGTAACTGGGAAGGGTAGGAGGGTGGAAGTGGGATAGGGGAGGAGAAATGATTTAATGGGTGTAAGGTACTCTATTTGTATGACGCCTATACTAAAAGCCCAGACTTCAGCACTATGCAATATATCCATGTAACAAAACTTTGCCCCCTAAATCTATTTTTTTTTAAAGAATAGACAAGAAATACAGATTTATTGGATGTGGGACCAAACGGGGACAACTTTCTGAGACCTAAAGTTCCATAATAGCCATTCAACTATGCAGTTTGGAAAGTTAGAACTATGATCAATTACCAGATAATATAGGCAGAAAAATTTTACTCAGTTGAAAGAGAAATTTCTTGTGTTACACATGTCAAGTATTGAATCAAGGGAGTTATCACTGGAATTGTTTAGATAGATTATTCGATAGGTTTTTCTGTATAGTTCAATTCAACAACTATCAATAAGTATCTACTATGTGAAAGGTGTTCTGCTGAGTATTACAGAGCCTTCAAATAAAATCAAGACTTTTTATTTAGGAAATGTACAGTCTTGTGAAAGCTATAATAATGTACACACAGGTGTGCACACATATAAAGGCAAAACTGATATGAACAAAGCAATATGAAAATTATGAGGAGAGAACAAATATCACTGGAGCAATCATAAAATATTTAATGAGGAAGATATTTAAAGATGAGCCTTGAAACCTAAGTAGAACTTCACAGTGAAGTGGATGTTAAAGTTGAAGTGGAGTCAACAGTAAAGTCCACCATGAAAAAACTGCATGCATTTGAAGAAGTCGTAAGCAGACTGGCATTTTTAGACTGTAGAGTATGGGAAAAGAGAAAAAAGTGAATGAAACTTTAAAGAAAGTTTAAGCCTAAATTGTTGAGGAAATTACCATAGACAGGATTTGCTGCTTCATTTAGTTGGTGCATATGAAATAAAAATAAAATATATATTTATTTGTTTCTTTTTAAAATGTTCTTAGGGCTGGATATTTGGAATCTTAATTCAAAGTGAATCATGTGATTGTTGAGCAGAAACAGCATAGAAGCATTAATTCAGTTAGTCATCTGTTGGAACAAGGTAACTAAGATAGTGAGAATCTGAATTAGTATTTTGATGGTAGAAAAGAGATTGCTTAGCAATGATAATTACATTGTGGAGACATTTGAATTGGATGGCATTTAGTTTCACTCAACTCTAAAATTGCATGCATGGGTTTATAATTCCAATTTGTGGTAAATTTTCTAGACTTTGAAATAAGCCTTTATAGGAGTAGTACATGTTAAATATGAATTCCCTTGGAACATACAAATTTGAGCACAGCTTTCTGAATCTGCTTTGTTTTCACACTGTAGATGATGGGGGATTCATCACAGAGGGGATGAGCAAGTATACGTTAGCAATGGGGGTGGGCACATAGGGTGGGGCATGTTTTCCAAATCTGTGAACAAAGGACAGGCTGATCAAAGGGATGTAGAATATGCCAACAGCAGTGATATGAGAAATGCAGGTGCTGAAGGCCTTCTTCCTCTCCTCTGGGGATGCAATGCTGAGACCTGAGCGAATGATCAGCAGATAGGAGAGCAAGATAAAGATGGAGTCCACTCCGGCAGTAGAGATGATTGCACTTAATCGTAGTGCACTGTTGATCTTTGTGTCTGAACATGAGAGTTTCATCACATCAGGGTGGAAACAGTAGGAGTGGCAGAGCACGTGGCTGCGGCATAATGACAGTCACTTAAGAAGTAGGATTAGTGGTGTCAAAATGACAGTCCCCCTGGTAATGACTGCCAAACCAATCTGTGCTATTCTTGCATGAGTTAGAATGGTAGCATATCTTAAAGGGTTAGAAATGGCCACAAAATGATCAAAGGCCATAGCCAGGAGCACTGAAGATTCCATGAAAGTGAAGAGGTGAATGAAGAACATCTGTGATAAACAAGTGTTAAAGCTGATCTCCCGAGCATTGAGCCAGAATATTCCCAGCACTGTCACCAGTGTAGAAATACGTAAGCCAATGTCAGTGGTGGACAACATGGAGAGGAAATAGTACATGGTCTCATGGAGGGTTGGCTCAGTGAGGATGACAAAAAGGATCAGGGTATTCCCAGAAAGGGCAGTTAAATAGAGGCAGCAGATGGGGATGGAGATCCAGACATGGGCCCATTCAAGTCCAGGGATCCCCGTCAAGAGGAAAGTAGGGGAAGTGGAATTATGGAAGACTGGCATTATGGCCTTTGGGAGCAGAATTCTCTTGTAGGATCTTGACTTCCTAAATTTGGAATTTTTAAATTATTTTAGTTGAAGTTTAATATATATTGAGTAAAGTGCATAAAACTTTAGAGTACAGCTCAAGGAAGTTTGACATCCATCTGTACCCGTGTAACCGTGCCCAAGATCAACTAATTGAACATGGCCAGCATCCCAGAAGACCTCTTAATGCCACATCCTCATCAGTGTCCTCTCGAATAGTAACCATTATTCTGACTTTTATTACCATAATTATTTCTTCCTATACTTGATTTTTATATAAATAGAATCATGTATTATATACTGTTTGTGTTTAGCTTCTTTCATTCAGTATTTTGTCTGTGAGATTAATCCCTGAACTAAGACATTTAATTAATTTCAATTTAACTTCAATTTATTTAAATACATTTATTTGATGTTTACCACTTACTCTCTTGTACTCTCATCATTTTGATTAAATTTTTCATCCTTCAACTGGATTATGAGAATAAGGGGGTATTTTGGACTAATCCTTGTTTAGTGGAGTTGCTTGCTCATAATAGATATTCAGTATGCATTTGTCACTTGATTTTCCTTTATTTGCTCTTCCTGAAATATTCTATTTAACTGTGATTAGGCCTTGGTATAGAAAAATAATTGACTAATTGTGATTTGGAATCTTAGAGTTATTAACTTAGATACCAAATTTCATTTACTCCATTTAGCAAGCAGGAAAACATCTCTTTTCAGTAAGTACATTTACCTAAGAATTCACCCCAGGTAAAGCCCATTCATCTTGCCTCATTATATATGTTTAATAGGGGAGAGATGTTTCAGTTCCTATGAACCTGAAGCTTGATATTCTTCTTAGTTTGTAACACAAAATACTGCCCCGTTTATGATTATAAAACCTGCTTCTGTTGTGATAAAAATCAGTGAGGCAAATAGTAAGCTTGTTTTGTAACATGAATGCCCTGGTCTTTAATCTGATCTTTGTTCTCTTATAGGATTACTCAGGTATGTAATATTGTGTTAATGATAAGACCATTTCCATACTTTGCTCTAATTATTTTACATAGACTATTTCATTTGAGTCTTATGACAAACCTAAAAGAGAGATTTTTTTTTTTTTTTTTACAGATGCATAAACTAAAGTTTGAAAGTTTGGATAAATTGCCAAAGTTCATAAAAACTGAAAGATATGATATTGGAAATCAATCACAGAAACAAAAAGATGCTAAAGCCTGGGCTATTAACAACTATACTACACTGTCTAATAATAATAATGATGATAATTATCGTATACTTCTTCAGTTAATATTTATTTCTTAATAAATAGAGCAAATGTGGGACAGATATCTATATTTGAAGATTTCTGATTATTTAAAATTTGTATGGCTCAGACGTGAAACAATTTTATTTCAGGATTGTCCATGTATTATATGAAATGTAATTAGATTACTGAAACTTATTTTTTTGCAAATAGTAAATACTTAAGATAATATTGGATGCTATAAATCAAATTAATCCGTTGTGGAAATGACATATTTATTATAGAATGAATGTATTAGTCAAAATATAATTTTAAGTTTTTATGATTTCTACTGTTTTTACAAACCATTCAAGTTTATTCTCATTAAGCGTGCCCATTTTTACACAAGTTTTATCATCTAATTGACTAGTACTTACTTATAGCTGTAGATGGAAATTAGTTTGGCTATTTCTCCAAACATGTTGTCTATTTCTGTATACTTTCAACACAGGCATTCCGTGGACAATGGATTTTATATATTCATTTTTCTACTTTAAAGCTTTTATCCTCTTTTCAGACTAATCTCCTGAATATTAGAGCCACATGTCTAATTCGTTGATTCTTCCACCTTAAATATCTCAAAGCAAGCTCAAACACAATATGATTGCATCTAAATTCAGTCTTCTTCACAGAACCACAACCTGTATATCCTATTTTCACCACTTTGATTAATAGCTCTATGGTAGCTCTATAGATCTATAGATTTATAAATCTATGGTAGCTTCATATATGAAATTGCCTAATTCAGAAATCTGCATAGACTTTCACCTTTCATCGGTTGATCACTAATTTCTGTTTTTATTGGACTCTTTCTAGTTCACACACCATGTCGCTATCAGTTTTTTCTAAGATGTAAAGTAGACTTGCATTTTAAAGTGATTTTAATCGGCACTATCTGAAAGAGTCTTTCCCAACTTTCTATTAAATTTTCATCACAAATAAAGAAAAAAGAAAAAAAACACAAGCAGCACTGATACTAAAACTGATGGATATTCTAAATCCAGAAAATTTGGGAATGATTAACTTCTCCGAACTGAGGAAAATGGAGATGGATGTGGATAGATATAAAGTCAAAATATCAGCCCACATTGAATACATCTCCATAGTCTATACTAAGGAATGTGGAGTCTGTACCAACATAAAAAGTTGGGAACGAGCCATTTATTTTTATAGGATGCTTAACTATAAAGTAACAAGGATTTTAGTCTTGTATCAGACATCTCATCTCAAGAAAAAGTAGCCAAAAATAATGGTATAGGGGTGGCACTGGTAGAGATACATTGAATTTTGAAATTAGTATTAGCCCATGTACAAAAGAGAGTGAAATAAAACAGCACATTTTGGGAATTTAGGTTTACAATTTCCCCTCCGATTTTAAGCCTGCAAAGAAATATACAGTGTTGGTTGAATGTTATCTGTAGGCTGCTAGAAACTGGAAATTATACCAGAAACTGCATTCCACATAATAATGCTTATTGGGATAGCAACCATGAGCAAGCCCCATACATAGCTTTTAAGAAAAAAAATAAAAACTGAAGATGTCTTGTTTTGCACTAGAGAGTATATAAAGAAAAAAATACTAGCATAAATCTTTAAAATATTTCATTAATAAAGGAACAACATCTGGAAAATCCAGAGCATGAGCATATATGAAGAAATGTAATAATGTCTGTAAACTATGTAGCATGTTGCCTATCACATCACAATGACTCAGTTATCAGTATCTCAAATGTAAAAACTTCTGCAGAACTAACAAGAAAACATCCTTAAGGTAATGTAGGTAATAGCATCATATAGCATTATGGAAAAACAAAGAACACATTGGAAAAATGTCAAAATAATAAAATACTAAAAAATAGAATTAAAGTGCACATTGAACATAATCAAAAACAGAGTCAAGGGACAGTAATTAACTTAGTTCAATTTGGAGAATGCATTTGAAAAATTCTCTCATAATGCATAGAAAAAATACGGTGCAAATAAAATAATGAGAAAATTATATTTGGGAAGGGCACAAAATGAAAAGCCAACATACAAATAACTATAGTCTCAGGTACAGTAAACAAAAATAAATACAATAAAAATGACTGTTCCAAAGGAAAGACTCCAGTGTATTGAGGATGAAAGGGCTCATTGTATTCAAGGTAAAATCAGGAAGATAAGAACAAGCATAAAATATTTGACTTAAATAAGTTTTTTTTTTAAATTACAAGCTTTCAGGCAGAAAATATGGATTTCCTATAAAGAAATGGAAATTAAGCCGGTTTTACAAAAAAATTAAAATATTAAAAAAGTCCTTTATAAAACATGGCATTCATGACGCAGAAAGAATAAAATATGTGAAAACAGATGGAGATTGCACGTTGTTGGAGCTTGGAGTTGGTGCTCTAACTGGCTGATAAACTTGCAAGTGTAGGTAGTATGCTATGTGAGGGGCAAATTTTTCAGTAACATGACAAAGGTCTTTGGCCTAGTGAGTAGAGTTTGACAATAATCCTCGCTGCAAGTATAATGTTAAAAAAATTACAAAAAAAAAAAACTAAGACACTGACGACTACAAAGCTTTGCTGAGAGATATTTTAAAAGATGTAAATAAGTGAAGAGACATCACATGTAAATGGATTAGAAGACTCAATAGCATAGACATGGCTGTTTTCCCTTAATGGAGCTATAAATTTAATGTAATATCAACAAGTCTTTTTTTTCTGTAAAAACTGACACTCATTCTATAATTTATACGGAAATGCAAAAGACTTACAATTTTGAAATAGAAGAAACAACCTGGATTGAAAACTTAACATTAAACCAATGCAATTAAGACACATAGCATGAGGACAGTCATACAGATTAATAGGACAAATTGGAGAGTCCAGATTTAAACACCTACATTATAGCCAATTGGTTTGTAATAAAGGTGTCAAGACAATTAAATGAGAGAAAGGATAGACTTTCCAATAAATGGTGCTAGAACAATTAAATATCACTATGAAAAAAAATAAATAACTTGGATTCTTAGCAAGCACTGTCCTAAAAAACTAGCTCAAAATGGATTACAGACCTAAATGTAAGAGCTAAAAATCAGAAACTTCTAGAAAAAAAATCGGAGAAGATTTTATGACCTTGGGTTAGGCAAAACATTATTAGATACCATATTAAAAGTGTGAGCCATTAAATAAATGATCAATATCAGACTTCAAACAAAAAAAAGTACAATTTAAAAGTCACCATTAAGAAAATAAGAATAGAGAAAACAGACTGGGAGAAAATATTTGCATAAAAAACTCATATACAAAAAATGTAAAGAACTCAATAAAGAGACAAACAATCCAATTAAAAATGGGCAAAATATTTGAATACACATATCACCAAAACATATATAAAAATGACTAACAAGCCCACGAAAGTTGAGAATTAGGAAAGTAAAATTAAAATTAAGAAATAAAAATTTAAACTGCTATAAAATACCTTTATCCACCCACTAGAATGGCTATAAATAAGAAACAGAAAAAAAGAGAAAAAAAAAAGGGAAAGGAAAGGAAGGAACGAACGAAGGAAAAAAAATACCAAGTGTTGATAAGCATGTGGAGAAATTGGACACATAATACATTGCTTGTGGACATGAAAAATGATACAGCCACTTTGAAAAACAGATTGACAGTTTCTTAAAAATTGAAACATAAACTTACCATATGATCCAGAAATTCTACTCCTTGGACTCTACCAAAGAGGAATGAAAGCATATGTACACACAATACATGTATACAAGTGTTCATAACAACATTATTCCCAATAGCCCAGAATTGAAACAATCCAAATATCCATCAGTTGATTAACTGGTGAACAAATTGTGAAATATCCATAGGCTAAAAAGCTATTCAGCAAAAAGGAAAAAATTGCTAATAAGTGCTACAATATGGATGCACCTCAAATATGCTGAGTGAAAGAAGCCAGATGCAGGATATTACATATTGTATGATCAATTTTAATGAAACGACTGGAAAAGACAATATTTCAAAAAAAGAAAGTAGGGCAGTGTTTGTCTCTGAGACAGAATTAGAAGTACAGGAAGAGGCACAAGTGAACATTGAGTTACGTATAAAGGTAGACTTTTAAACCGGTATAAATAAAGTGAGCTATATAGAATAAAAGGAGTTAGGTAAGCTGATCATCCATTTGGAAAAAAAAAAAAAAAAAAAAACTAAAATAAAGCATAGCACCGCAATACATACTGAAATTATTTTCTGATGGTTAAATATGTAAATATCAAAAAGCCACATACAGTTTAGAATAAAATGCAGGTAAATATTTATATAATCCTGTAGTAGAAGAAAAATTTCTAAATATAAAACCAAAGATATAAACTGTAGAGGTAAACATTGATGTATTTGATTTGGTAAAATTCAAATAATTGTTTTATAGCAAAAACAACTTCCACAGTTTTAAAAGGGTAATTATAAATTTGGAGAAATATTTGAAGCATATATAACATTCAATTGAATAATGTGTTTACTATACGACTTTTAAAAAATGACAAAAAATTGGCTGGGCATGATGGCTCACACCTGTAATCCCAGCACTTTGGGAAGACGAGGCGGGCAGATCACCTGAGGTCACGAGTTCGAGACCAGCCTGACCAACACAGAGAAACCCCGTCTCTGCTAGAAATACAAAATTAGCTGGGCATGGTGGTGCATGCCTGTAATCACAGCTACCTGGGAGGCTGAGGCAGGAGAATTGCTTGAACCCAGGAGGCAGAGATTGCACTGAGCCGAGATCATGCCACTGCATTCCAGCCTGGGCAACAAGAGTGACATTCCATCTCAAAAAAAAAAAAAAAAAAAAAAAAGACAAAAAATTTGGCAAAAATAATTAAAAATGGAATTCTCCAAGGGACTAGTAGTTAATACAGGAAGAATTTTCAGTCTCACAGTCAGCCAAAGAAATGCTAATTAAAACAATTGTTATTAATGTCAACAAAGATTAGTAAGGATTGTTAGGCTGCGGGAAATCTGGCACAGTTGTGTCACGGAGTGTTTAAGTAAAATTTGTCAGTTTTTCAAGCACTTAAGACTTCATTTCCTTTCAATCAACAATTTAATTTCTCTGAAATTACTAGTAGTATTGACAATAGCCACTGTTGCTAGTGTGCATGTCATGTGTCCATATATATAAATTATTCCTTCATCTTTTGTTAATTACTTCTTTGAATAATAAATATTGAGTGCCTACTTTGCACACTTAACCCTCAAAATAACCTTTTATTTTCAAGGTAATAAACAATGTTTATAGACAGATTAAAATATTACATATGAGACCGTGCTAATTTCTTAAATTTAGAAACTGGCCTTATTCCTCATTTGTACTAAAAGAGCTTAGAACAGATTGCTATATCCTATGATTAGTGGGAGAGAAACAACTTCTATGTTTTTAAGTTATTAGCTTCTTTGGTGTTTTCCAACGTAGTGTTTCTTCATCTAATCCAAGGACAAAAATGTCACCAGTTTGCACATGCGTTGTTTCTCGTCATCTCTAGAATGCACAAAAGAGGATGGCTGTCCTGGTCTTGGTCTCAAGGCAGGCCCACAGTCTGGGCCTGATATCCTTTCTGCATTCGCCACTACCCAGTCGGCCTCTCGCTAGTCAAATCTTAATTTCTATTGCTAAAATTCATGGGTGTAAGTAGACATAAGTTGGAATCTGTGCCTGAAGATTTTAGGAAATGAGCACAAAGGCCTTATTCTTATCTAGCCTCTAATTAGTAAGAGTACTCAAGATAAAGAGTATTTTATTTTATAAAGAGGAATATGAAGTCAGATTTTCTAGATTATTAGTCGTCTCAGATAAAGACAAATCTGGAGTTAGATCCTCCTTTGGAGAAAAATCAGTTATCATCATATGATTTGTCAAAGCAGTGACTACCAATACAATCTCCATAGAATGACAAAATGATATTTCTGTGATTGAAAATGCCATGGATTCATTTAATTAATTAATTTATTTACCTCTTTATAGAGAAGGATTTAAGATGGATCCTTTATTATATATTTTCTGAATTTAGGAACAGCATCTGTGGAATGTTACAAAGCTAACCACCTACATGGAGGCAAAGCAATGAATGTACAAAGTGCATGATGACCTGAGGCACTGAGATAACCAGCCTTAATATTTGAGGCTTTGGCTGAAATATGAGCCAGGTGGAAGGTGAGAAAATAGATGAGAGGATGGATATAATCTCACAAAGAAGAAAAATTAACATTGAGCCAGTTTCCTTGCTACGTATCTCTACATGTGTAACTTTAACAGCATCATTAATAGGCTGTGACTAATATTCCCATTTTTCAGGTGAGGTTAGAGTGAATGACTTATTGAAGTTTTCCATTGATAGATTTCATGGAGCCAGTGTGTGAATCCAGGACTGTTTGACCCAAAAGATGTGGTCATTTTACTGCCACTCTATCTCTCTGGTGTTGAGAATCAAATTAAAAGGAAATGCATCAGATTGATGCAGACTTAAGAGACACAATAGAATAAATGGGCTGGCATAGGTGTAAACCAATTCAAAATATAATTTAAGTAATAGTGAGTGTGTGCCAGTGACTGTATTTTGGGATTTGGTTATTATTTATGGCAGGAAATACATACATATAAGAAGTATAATTTTTGCTATGATTAGCTTAATGTATGAAAACAAAACATCTATATGGAATTCAGGATTTCTGAACAGGCAACAGGACCATAGAAGTGAACAAAACAGTGGAGGGTGAGTGGAGTTAGAAGCTCAAAGGGCTTAGAGGTCAGGGACCAAGGGTAAGCGGGGAGAGCCTTACCTTTCAAGGTGTGGAGAATTGAAAGGGATACAAATAGCAGTGCTGAAGGAGCAATGCCAGAAGACTAGGTGAATTTTTGTCTTTAATTTCACTTCCAATAAATTCTTCCTTGTGTTTATCTATGCTAAATCACTCATGATGTAGTTTAAAAGTCATCAAGGGCATTTATTAAAGACACAATTAAGTCCTGTTTCTGATCGGAGAGCAGCCACTTGATTTGGGCTTCAGAAAGGGAGGAGAGATTCCCTTGCTCTTACTTACAGTGGGGTATGTGAAGGTGACCCATTTATCTCTATGAGTGGAAAACTTCTATAAGGAATCTTAATTGTAGAGTCATTTACTCAGCTGGGATAAGTGTGCCTCTGTGGGATTTTTGCACCATTCTGTTACACTGCACTTCTTATCCCATTGGGTCAGTTAGCTAGCATCAGGAAATTTGGACGCTTAAGTGGAGAAAAATCACATCAGGGAAAATAAACGTATTGACCCAGGAAGTTTGTGTTTACACATTTCAATTAAAAATGAAATTGAATCATTTCTTTAGAGATGGATAGTGCATTTAAGATGAGAGTCTAGTATTTTTTCTTGGTTTTTGTTCTGCTATATGTTTCTTGTAAATAATGTGTTATATAGATTTTTGTGTAAAGTAATTTGGTTGCCAGATGATTTGAAAGTATCTCCAGGTAATAGCATAATGCCAGTTCCATAGTACATATATTTTAAATATCTGTTAGAATAAACAAATGGATTTCTACAATTTGGAAGCAAGCTGCAATATAGAATGATCAAGTCAAGGGCTCCATGGGAACTGACTGTTGAACAGAGGAAAGAAGTTTTAGCAGGTTGGGAACTCAAGTGGAAGCAACTACCAGGAAAAAAAAAAGACCTGGCTTTTCCTCAAGGATTATATTGATTATCTGTACAGTGATTATTGTTTTATTGTTTTCCAGTCAGGTACATTATATTATTTAATCTTAGCTGTTCAAGCTAAAGCAAACCAATATTTACTTGATAAGTACTGATGAATACCATGCTTGACACAAAATCAGTGGTCAGTAATATTACTAAATTAATTTATTCACCTCTCTTGAAGATCCATTTCATAGTATAGAAAAGAGAATTATATGAACAAACACAATAGAAGTCATTTTATCCAAATTTGTTTTAGTTAATGTTTAGGTTTGCTTTTGAATAAGGTTAATTACATATAGGAGTCAGAAAAACAATTTTAACATACATTGAACATTTTATTTAAGTTTCCAACTTATAGATGTACTTTATTCACAATATTTTGATGTAGAGTTAGGGCCTCTTAATACAGTTTTGCAAACTGAAATTCCATATCATCTTTGCAAGAACCATGTCTTTAATACAAATTATGTTATAATAATCAAGATAGTCAAGATGAAAGTACTGACAGCCTATAGATTACTTATTGGGACCAGTGAGAACGTGCTATTTAGAAAATAAGCTGTAATTATTCAACTGGCAGCTATCATCAGGTAGTATATTTTCAGAGGAAGTGAAATGTCTGGTTAATCTAGCAAGTTTGTTCAGTAGAACTTATATAAAAATCGTTGTACTTGTTGCTTTGTTATACACTTTTAGAAAAGTGGAAAAACAGAGAAAAAGGAGACTCACTAGAATGGGAGGCAAATAGTTCATGTATTTTCTTTGCCGAGAGTAAAGTTCCAAGAACATTGTGTGTTATATAACCAGGAAACCTGAAAACTGGTCTACTAATAACTGTAGCTCAAAGAAAAGACCTAGCAATGGATATCAGTTTCTTTTTCAGCAAAATAGAGTGGTGGTACAATCCCTGAAAATTTTAAAGAAAAGTACACAGGATTGGGATTTAGTATCTTCTTGGCAGGTGAAATGTATTTACAATTTGGGAGCAAGAGAAAATAATTAAGCCTATATTAAACAATATTATAATTCCATTATAAGATTAATCTTACATCTATGTTGAAAATAAGTTAGAATAAGGAGAGTACTTGATAGAATGTGCCTTGAGAGAGATTCTGAAGACACAGAATGGTGAAGCAGGCAGTGAGAAATGATATGAAGTCTGCATCAAAGAAGCCGTATTTATGTTAAACGTTACCAGTTTGAATGGTGAAAATAGACATAAAGGCCAAAGGAGACACTGACCAATCAGGCTTGGCTGGCTGAACAAAGGGTGGCATCATAAAGGGAGATGAGAAATTTTCAGTTTTCAGTTTTGATCAAATAGAAATTAAAACAGAAAGTCATGTTGCCAGAAGTCTGAGGAAGGCATAGTCAGGTTTCTTCAATGAAAGAATATTGCCTTAATTACTTTACACCTTTCATGATCAGGAATAATTTCACTCATCAAAACAGAGTCAGATTACTAATAAAAGAAACTAATTAATTTGGTTTTGGACTTGCTGAATTTGGGGTACTGAAGGGCATGTGGATAATTTTGGCAGGATGACATGGCTAGAAATACTTCATGAGAGTACATGCCCTTCAACAGCATGCTGTATTTATTTTCATATGTTATAGTGTTGATAAATACTATAAAGAATGAACAAATAAATGCATAATTATGTGGAACTTAGTTTTGGCTAATGGGTTTCTTTTCTGTTTAACAAAACAGCAATGAGTAAGGAAACACAGACAAGCTGCTGTAGATTTTTTGTAGATGATTTTGCACATTTTTAAATTCTCCTAAATTGTCACAGATTAATAATTATTAGTTATCTTAAAGTTTAATAGTATGTAGCACTATTTGTTATTAATATTAAAGTATTTAGTATTAAATTTGATTCCTAAAATAAAAATTGGATTCCTAAAGTTGTCAGAATAAGTAATTTTATAATGCAATAAACAGGAGAATTTTATAAAGCATGTAAATTACACAGAAGGGATATTTTATTGTGCCTCTGCCTAATAAAGTAAGATTTTAATGTTTATTACTTTTTAATCTTTTCTTCAAAATGTCTCATTCTGTCTCTGTTGACCTGCAGGAAAGATGTGGCAGGTTAATAAATTTGTTTACTCCATAATTTTATGTAACTGTTTTGTTATTCATCTAATCATGATTTTGTAATCCTTAGTACTTTTGCCTTAAGCAGTTTTGCTAAAAGGGAAATTTTAAAGTTGACAATATTTTTTTGCTTATTCAGTTTAATCCCCAGGATAATGACCATTGCTTTAAAACATGTCATTAATTAAATGTTCTTAGTGCACTTTGTTGGATAAAGAGAGGTATATGAGTGGTATTGGCTAGTTCTTTGGCAAAAAATATTTCCCTTTTTCTGATAAGTGTCCCCAGAATAGAGATGGGCCCAATATACTGGGCCTGTGCACATGACTTGATTGGTTAATACTAGACAGTTAGGTATGCGACCCAAGCAGGGCTAAAGAGATACTCTCTTAGGATGATTTTTAACATTATATTTCAAAATAATTTCTGAGCTACAAAAAATCTGTACAAAGAATACTGGGCAGGGCGCAGTGGTTCACGCCTGTAATCCCAGCACTTTGGGAGGCCGAGGCGGGTGGATCACGAGGTCAGGAGATCCAGACCATCTTGGCTACTAACACGGTGAAACCCCGTCTCTACTAAAAATACAAAAAATTAGCTGGGCGCGGTGGCGGGCGCCTGTAGTCCCAGCTACTCGGGAGGCTGAGGCAGGAGAATGGCGTGAACCCGGGAGGTGGAGCTTGCAGTGAGCTGAGATCGCGCAGCGCCACTGCACCCCAGCCTGGGTGACAGAGCGAGACTCCATCACAGACACACACACACACACACACAAAGAATACTAACATTTTCATATATCCTTTATGCTGAAACTCCATTTCCTGAGTATTTGAAACTTCAAGGGAGACACATGAGGACATTCAAACATCTGTTGAGCAACCCACAGCTGCTCTGGCTTCTCTTTGTCTCAAGATTTGGTTGCTTGGCTTCTCCTTGTAACTCCTTCCCTATTTTCCTCTTAATTCAACAAATGTGATGGTTATTAAAATATTCTCTTCATATGTCGGAGCATGGGCACTAACAGCCCTAGTTCATCGTCATATTCTATGTAAGCCACATTGCCCAGGAGCTGTTTCTAGGCAATCACTGACCATGGCAGAGAAACTGAGGAAGGTCCATTTCTAGAAGGTATAGAACTCTGCTGACAGGTGTTTTGATTAGAGGATATCCAATGACATTGACTAAATCTGTTCAGAACTGCACCACATTCTAGGATGCTTCTTTCTACCCAAACTTCCTTCCTTCCTTCTCTCTTTAACTCAAGGTCAAGCCTACATCAAAGACTGACAGGTCCTGCTCCTCTATTCTTGCCTTCTTTTTGTAGTAAATGTTACCTAGCCCCTTGTTGGCTGCTTGTCTGTTTGGAAACAGGGAGTTTATGCTCTATTATCCATGTGCACACCAACTTGCTTGTTAAGCCCTCTTGTCTACCCTTCAGATCTTGTTGGTTCCTGTGATAATCGTAGCTCTGGCTTTTGGTGGTTACCTACTGCAACCTGGCTTCTATTATGTCAAGGCCTCCTCATATGCGTGGGTAGCCTGGCTTGCTGACTGCAGCTACTGCTGGCCTCTGTGATTAGTGGAAAAGAGCTACCACTCAGCTTCTTAGAGATGCTGGTATCATTTTCACAGCTAATTTCCAGTGGCTTCTGAACGATGTGTCCTCTGTGCACTTTTATGGAAAATGTATGGTGAGTCTTCCATCTTTACACAGTCTATTCCAGCATGCATACTTTCATCAGCCTCTAAATTCTTTCCTTTTCCATCTACTAGGGCAGCACAATCATTTTTCCAATATGCTGAATGTTGTCCAACACTTTTTCTAGCTAATTGTCACTCAGTAGTAAATTAGCTACATTCCTTGGTGTTCTTGTTAAGGTGTTAAAATTCGTATTCCAAATAAATGTCCCTACATTGATGCATTCTTGCTAATATAGTCTTCTATTCAGACCTCCTTGATCAACCATTCTCACTATTCAATCCAGAGGGCATTTCATGGATTTTTGCCATAAAATGCTTGCTAATTTTTGCTATTCTTCGGGTTATAGTCTCTTTCTTATCTTACTAGGCCCAGCACATTCCCAACAGATTTATGCTGGAATTTAATGCCAGTGTTCATTCTGGTGGTGAGAACAAGAGATGGAGAGAGCTCCAGGAGATAGAATTATGCGAAGTGGTGGAAATGATTGTTCTTACCAGAGAAGTGTGGGCCACCTCTGCAAGCCCAAGGATTATAAGGACTTTTGCATAATCAGTGTCTTCATGGGTCACTCACCCAGGTGCTTCTACTCGGTGTTTCATGGTACTACATTTTTCCCCGGATACAGATGTAACATCACAGACCTGCTTGGGTTGAGTACAGTATTTGAGGAGTTCTTTGACTCTAACAATTAGATAGAAATAGTCTTAAATAAGTTCATTCTTTCTGGCTATAGATTTTCTGTTGCTACAATAAAAAGTGATTTAATTAACTCACATCAGTAAATGGGTATCCTTGCTTGGTGTAACAAATGGGCTGTTTGGAAACTTATTTAAGTTACATCCTTAATTTCTCTCCCACTTTCCTTTCCCTCCCTCCCTCCCTCCCTCCCTTCCTTCCTTCCTTTTTTCATCCTTTTTCTCTCTCCCTTTTTTCTTTCCTCCCACGGTTTCTCTCTCTCTTTCTCTATGACATTCATTTTTTGCAGTGACTCTGACAATTTAAAAATTTTCTGCTGGTGGCTGTGCTATCGGTTCGGAATATTGCGATGAGTGCTTATTGTGATAATGTTAGTATATATTACATTATTTTACCACATCTATCTTTCTGATGTTCCAGCAGCTAGCAGGCATGTAGAATTACTCAAGAAAAAGACTCTCACATATAAAAGTCAGAAAGTGTAGCCAAATTTGTAAACTAAATCGATAAACAAATTCATTTACATAATGGCATTGTTTTATCAAAAGGTGTTTTTAAAGCTACTAACACAAATTTTATAATCTATGTTCACCTGGGGAAAGCTGAAGAAGAGAGAAAATAGAAGAAAAAAGGGTTTGTGTTTCATAATTTTCATGCCTATGTACAGACAGACCTTAAAACTCAGAAGATAATTCTTCCATGAATAGTAAAATTGTCATATAATATTTCTTCCATTTTTCCACAGAGTTTCTTACAAAATCGTCCTATCCAGCATGCACTTTTGGATACTCTTTCAACTCAGAAGTCAACATAAAGGGTAAAATTTTACTTTTATATTATGAATTATCACCCCAATAAGTCCATTATTTCATGACTTTTTGTTCATGTTGATGTTTTACACACACAAGATTTTAACCTTCGTGAGTGCACAGTAATATTTTTTATTGATCTTTTATTTTTTGTTGTTTCCCACGAGGTCAAACATAAAATATACCTACAGTCACTGTGTGCTGATAAACTGAATATTTAAAAACAGAAAAAGTTCTCAATGCTATTAAATTAAATTGAACAATGCTATTATATAAATATTTAAAAGAATTTTTACCAGTTCACATGGTATAAAAATTATCATTATCAGTGATTTCAAGCTACTAATATGACATCATATAATGCATAGTTAGATATGCAAAAATAGGCTCTTGCAAGCTGGTGTGTGCTCTCTCCAGCACACTGCTGCCCTCAGTATTTGTGGGGTACCTGGTACATTTCTTCCACCTATCACTATTTTTCCAATGGCAATAAAATTGATGTGACTGCCTTTAGGTTTCCATCTCCATTTCCCTCTGATTTTATTCTGCCATTATATGCAATTGACATTTTTAAGCTTCTGTCTGTCTCTTAAATCCAAAGAGTTACCATAAGTTCGTTTTCAGAAACCAAACATTTTGTGTCTGTCTCTGTAAAACTGTGTATAGGCAAGAACTATGAATTCTTTACCTTGGTTCTTTAGCTGGTTAAGGAGTCACATAGGTCTTTAATGGCATTTGTGAAAACTGTGAAAACTATGGAAAATAATGTGAGTATGTTTATCTATGGGGAAAGGTCCATAAATTTCATTAGCTTTCTAAGGGACCACAATGCAGAAAAAGGTTCAGAACATCTGCCCCAAACTTCCTTGTAATTTACTTTACATTCTTTTCTAGTTCTCTCAAGTTCCCATTCCCTGTGATAAATTAGCAAGTGTGCCTCACCCCTAAAGCTTTTCTTTGGACTGTCCAACACTGGATAGTGACTCACATGCCATGACATATCTATTCCTACCTTTTGTATTATGAATTATCCATGAAGAAAACAGCTAGAGTATATTCTAAGAAGGTTACTACAACTTTTTAAGACAAAGGATGGAACCATGGAGATCCAGGTCTTACTTTTGATCTTAAAACATTTCTGCTACATGACTTTGGCAGAGTATGTAATACAGTGATGAAGAGCATAGCATTTGAGATACAGAACACCTGGGTTCAAATCTCAACTGTGCCTCATGTTATTCACATGGCCTTTGGGGGCCTAAATGTCTATAAATCTGTTCCATCATCTGTAATATATCGCTAATAGTAATATATATTTCATTTCGCTGTTTTGGAAGAATAAATGGAATATGTCTTAAAAGCAGTTAGTAGAACACCTAGCCTGAAACAAAGAGTCAATACATGTTAATTGCCAGGAGTATTATTTATCATTTCATTATTGTTATTTTCCTAATTCCACTACAAATGTCTTGGGTGATATATCATACTTATATTTTATGACCAAATATACAACATATTTACTATTTGTTTGGTGAATGAAAAATATTTTAAAAACCCACATGCAATAGGCAGTAAGAGAGCAAGTTCGCTTTTCTACAGTGCAAGTCATTCATGCCAGGTTTGTATCAAATAAAACTATGTCTGTTCATTTTGTAAGCAGCAGACTGAGCATAGCCTTGCGGATTTGTTTTGTTTTTACACTGTCGATGATGGGGTTGAGCACAGGGGGTAAAAGCAGGTATACATTAGCCATCACTGAATGGACTACTCTGGGGGCTGACCGACCATAGCGATACACCAAGGACAGGCTCAGCATGTGGATGTAGAAGAAAGCAACTGCTCCCACATGGGAGACACAGGTGCTGAAGACCTTGTGCCATTCTTCAGGGGAGGCAATTCTGAGGACAGAGTGAATAATTAAGATATATGACAGGACAATGCATGGTGTATCTATTCCAGTGGTCAGGATGAGATCAATTAATCCACAGATGCTATTTGCCCGAATGTCTGAACATGCTAATTGAATCACATCTGGATGGTAACAATAGGAGTGAGAAAGGGCATTCATTCTACAGAAATAGAGAGGCTTAAGGAGCAAAAGTAGTGGCAATATTAGTACTATAGCACGTGTAATCATCAGAAGACCCATTTGAATGATTCTGGAATTAGTGAGAATGGTAGTGTACCTCAGAGGGTCACAGATGGCCACATAACGGTCAAAGGCTGTAGCCACCAGCACTCCAGATTCCATAAAAGTGAATCCATGAAGAAAAAACATCTGGACAATGCAGCTATATAGACTGATTTCACGTGCCTCAAACCAGAGGATACCTAATGTTGTTGACAATGAAGAAACAGTCAAGCCCAGATCAGTGGCTGATAGCCTGAAGAGGAAATAATACATGGGTTCATGGAGACTCTGCTGGGTAATGATGACAAACAGGATCACGCTGTTCCCAGAGAGGGCAATGGCATAAAAACAACAGAAAGGAATGGAGATCCAGACATGGGCAGACTCTAGGCCAGGAATGCCGGTCAACAAGAAGGTTGGAAATTTAGATGTTGAGTTGCTTAGGATTTCCATGGTGTCCTGGTTTTGCAGCATTTGTCCTCACAATGCTTCCATCCTATAGAAGTGATACATTAAGTGTTATGTAAAATATTTAGATACATTTTCTTTTAGTTAGTAGAGTTATCCAAGGTCATAGATAAGATCTGCATCATTGAGAAACCTTTAAATTAAATTATAATGTTCATCTACCACTCATAATCAGAAATAGTTCACAAAAATATGTTTTTGTACCATAAAATTCAAGGGAAATATGTCCATATGATTTTATACATTTTCATGATAGTGTCCATTTACAGAATATATTAAGATGCATCATATTGTAAGATTATTTGAATAAAGACTTAGCTGAGAAAAAATAAGTATCCTCAATTTTGAATATTTTGTGAGTACAATGAATAATAGCCACTTAAAAATATCCATGGTTCTTCAGTGACCATAAGGGTATGAGTCTGCAGACACAGATCTCCAGATATTTGCCAGGAATATAAAGTTATCAATGTATATTTATCATTTTCATCCAACACTATAGGTAAACAACTTCAGAGACTAGAATTATAAGAGAAAAACAATGAGGACAGAACTCTCCAGAAGACTGGAATGCACTATATACACTAAAGCAAGATGAGACTGGTTTTATGGGGACTATGAAAACCAAAAGAGGCTGGGCAGGTGGCTCATGCCTGTAATCCCAGCACTTTGGAGGCAGAGGTGGGCGGATCACGAGGTCAAGAGATCAAGATCATCCTGGCCAACATGGTGAAACCCCGTCTCTACTAAAAATACAAAAATTAGCTGGGCATGGTGGCGTGTATCTGTAGTCCCAGCTACTTGGGAGGCTGAGGCAGGAGAATCGCTTGAACCCAGGAGGCAGAGGTTGCAGTGAGCCAAGATTGCACCACCGCACTCCAGCCTGGTGACAGTGAGAGACTCCGTCTAAAAAAGAAGAAAAAAAAAAAACATGGTGTGAAGACCGGATGTTACATGAGCAGCTGTGTCGAATTGCTTGCGCTGTGAAGCCTAGTAAGGATTAAAAAATTCAAATGCAGCTGAGAGCCATTAGCGATCCCAGAAAAAACAGTGGAAAATTGAGAACCTGCTACAGTGTGGTAATGATGAAAGTATTAGCAGTGGAGGTACGGTTTATTTTAAGAAACTTGGCAGTGAAGGCAAGGGGAGAAGTAGGCCATGTCTAAAGAAGGGGTATCAGGTAGATGGAGAATTTTTGCAAGATGGGACAGAATTCGAGAAATTGATATGTTTATAAACGGAGGTTAAAAATGTAGCAGATAATGAGAAATTTAAAATATAGAATGTGAAGGATTTATTGATCTATAAAAGTCCTTAAGAAAGTAGTGGGTGATTAAGTGTAGAGCATGAGTAACCTTCAAAAAAATGAGGACCATCATTTGCACTGACACTAGTAAGTGTCAAATATGTAAGTTTGTGGAGAGTTATATAAGGAAATTGTTACCTTTTTCTCTGTGAAGTATTTGGGGGTAATTTACTGCTGTTCAAAAGTGTAAAGTGATGGCTGCTGGCTTCCGGATACAGTAGACGTTTTCAGGAGACAGCGAATGAGAAGGGCAATTGGCTCAGTAAACAGAAATGCTATATCGCCTCTTTCAAGTAAAATTCCAAGAATAATTTTGTCAATTAATATATTTATATTGTTCAAATCAATTCTGGGGAGAATTAAATTAAATAATAGCAGTATTCATGAGTATAATGTTAGTATTTTTCAATCAAGTCTTTAAAAAATTAGATGTGTCAAATTCATGAGAGTAAATATTCTGTAGCAAGGATACAAGTTACTGTTCCCTTTATGCTAGTATTCTGTGGTTTATTTTAAATCTCCAGTTGTCTGATTTTCAATTCAATCTGAGAAACATTATGAAAATATTTAAGTATGAATTATTAGAGGTTGTATATCTACATGTTATGTGGATCGATGAGGACAGGGCAAACCCTCATGATATCTGACTTTTCTATAAACCCATATGACTATTTGTGAATAGGTAACAAAGTAAAAGTCAACACGATAAATATATCTATCTCCCTTCTTACCAGCTTTACGTGGAAAGAGGAACCTTCTCTGTCTTTGCTAGATGAGGAAGGATAGACTACAGTTCTGGAGCCATGGACTTTATAGTAAGGTAGAATTGAGCTGTGAGATTATTTGTATGATTTATGTCTCTCTGCAGCCAAAGACAGAGCAAAAAAGAAACCACCCTCTCTCCCTATCTATAAAAATTAGAGGGCAGGAGTGTGTAATCCCAGAGGGTTTTAGTTACTAATCCAAGTAACCTGTGGTCCACAGGGACATTAAATGCAGAGGAAAATAAACCAAATTATGCATATAAATAGAAAATTTACACACTGTTCATAGCATTGGGGAATAGAGAGATGTACATCATTGTCTCTGGATTATAAGTGTACTGGCAAGATAGGAAAAGAAACCACTGTTCACTGGGATCATTATGGTCACAATAAAGAGGGAAAACTTTACACCCAGTCTCTAGGCTCCTATGCCTACATTTCCACATTGAACCATAGGGAGAATGATAGATGTCCATTCTCAAATCCATTCTTTTTCAAACACTGAGTTTTCCCCCAGTAAATGTGTCAGCTCCTGATATATTAATTTGGCCCTGTTTTGCTAGTAGCTAGGGTTACCATGAATGAATGATGTTCTCATGTGCATGTATTCTTACTCTGTTCCCTGCTGTTTTCTTGCATTAATACTTTCAAGCACCTGATTATTGAGAGAGTTTTTTCATTTTTGTCAGTGTAGGCAGTTGACTAATGGATGCAGACACTTTACAGTCTACTAATTCTAGGTTCATAAGAAAAGTCTCACATTCAAGCCTTTTGTTTCTCCTTTATAGAGAAGCTGCACATTTGTGGAGACAGTCTTGTTTTTGTTTAGGTATCAATAATACCAGTAATTTGTTCCTCACTCAGCTATTTTTCTTTGATTTCTACTCTGCTATTACTCCTGTGCATTCCTGTTCAAGTAATTTTAATGGCTGAAAGTGTGATGGGTTCAATTGAAGCACTATATCTCTACCCGGCATTCCCATCAACTGTTTTGACTAATACTTCCACGACAAAAATGAACTATAATCAAATCATTTTATAAGTCAGAAATAAATAATTAAAAGTTTCGCCTCTGTTGTCTTAAAGAGCTAACTATCTAGAGTTTTCACCCAAATATCTGTGACGGTCAGATTGTAAAATAATAAAATAGTCCCTCAGTACTCCTACCTTCTTGGACTCAGCCCATGTTTATCCTCTGCTGTTGAGTGTGGGTAGGACCTCTGACTAACTTCTAACCAATAGAATATGGCAAAGTTGACAGGATATCATCACATATATGTCATATAAGATCTGTCTTTGGTGAATCAAGGTTCCATGTTTGGCAAACCTATGTGGCAAAAGACTAAGAGTGGACTCCAGCTAACAACCAGCCAAGAACTGAACATGGCCTCCTAGCCAACATGTAGCAAGAAACTGAGTCCCTCAACTCAACAGGCCACAAGGAACTAATAGAATCTAGCAACACTTCATAAGCTTGGAAGGATAGCCTTCCACAATAAGGCTTCAAATGAGACACAGCCTTTGGAGAAAACTCAGCAAAGCTGTATTCAGACTCCTGACTTACAGGAATTCAGAGGTGTAGTGTTTGTGGGGTTTTTTTTTTTTTTTTTGCTAATTGGTTTTGAATTTTTATTTTTATTTTTAGTTCTGGAGTACATGTGCAGGATGTGCAGGTTTGTTACACAGGTAAACATGTGCCATGGTGGTTTGCTGCGACTATCCACCCATCACCTAGGTATTAAGCCCAGAATGCATTAGCTATTTTTCCTAATACTCTCCCTTTGCCCCCACCTCACCCCCTGACGGGCCCCAGTGTGTGTTGTTCTCCTTTCTGTGTCCATGTGATCTCATTGTTCAGCTCCCACTTATAAGTGAGAACATGAAGTGTTTGGTTTTCTGTTCCTGCATGAGTTTGCTGAGGATAATGTCTTCCAGCCTCATCCATGTCCCTGAAAAGAACATGATCTCATTCCTTTTTATAACTGCATAGTACTCCATGGTTTATATGTACCACATTTTCTTTATCCAGTCTATCATTAGTGGGCATTTGGGTTAACTCCATGTCCTTACTATTGCGAACAATGCTGCAATGAACATACATGTACATGTTTCTTTGTAACAGAATAATTTCTATTCCTTTGAGTATATACCCAGTAATGGGATTGCTGGGTCAAATGGTATTTCTGGTTGAGGAATCGCCACACCATCTTCCAAAATGGTTGAACTAATTTACATTCTGACCAACAATGTAAAAGCATTCCTATTTCTCCACGACCTCACCAGCTTCTGTTTCTTGACTTTTTAATAATGGCCATTCTGACTGGTGTGAGATGGTATCTCCTTGTGGCTTTGATTTGCATTTCTCTAGTGATCAGTGATATTGAGCTGTTTTTCATATGTTTGTTGGCTGCATGAATGTCTTCTTTTGAGAAGTGTCTGTTTATGCCCTTTGCCCACTTTTTAATGGGGTTGCTTGTTTTTGTCTTGTGAATTTGTTTGAGTTCCTTGTAGATTCTGGATATTAGGCCTTTGTTGGATGAATAGATGGCAAAATTTTTTCTCCCACTCTGTAGGTTGCCTGTTCACTCTGATGATAGTTTCTTTTGCTGTGCAGAAGCTCTTTAGTTTAATTAGATCCTGTTTGTCAATTTTTCCTTTGTTGCAATTGCTTTTGGCAATTTCATCATGAAATCTTTTCCTGTGCCTATGTCCTGAATGGTATTGCCTAGATTTTCTTCTAGGGTTTTTATAGTTTTGGGTTTTACATTTAAGTCTTTAATCCATCATGAGTTAATTTTTGTGTAAGATGTGAGGAAGGGGTCCAGTTTCAATTTTTTGCAAATGGATAGCTAGTTCTCCCAGCACCATTTATTAAATAGGGGTTCCTTTTCCCATTGCTTATTTTTGTCAGGATTGTTGAAGATCACATGGTTGTAGATATGTGATCTTATTTCTGAGTTCTCTATTCTGATCCATTGGTCTATGTGTCTGTTTTTGTACCAGTACCATGCTGTTTTGGTTATTGCAGCCTTATAGTAAAGTTTGAAGTCCTATAGTGTGATACCTCCAGCTTTGTTCTTTTTGCTTAGGATTGTCTTGGCTATACAGGCTCTTTTCTGGTTCCATATTAATTTTAAAATAGTTTTTCTAATTCTGTGAAGAATGTCAGTGGTAATTTATTGGGAATAGCATTGAATCTATAAATTACTTTGGATAGTGTGGCCATTTTCATGATATTGATTCTTCCTATCCATGAACATGGAATATTTTTCCATTTGTTTGTGTCCTCTCTGGTTTCCTTGAGCCGTGGTTTGTAGTTCTCCTTGAAGAGGTCTTTCACTTCCCTTGTTAATTGTATTCCTAGATATTTTATTCTATTTGTAGCAATTGTGAATGGGAGTTCATTCATTATTTGGCTCTCTTCTTGCCAGTTGTTGATGTATCAGAATGCTTGTGACTTCTGCACATTGATTTGACTGCTCAATGATATATCATATGTAACTGCAACCCAGCTGATGATCTATGTTTTAGCCTGTTTTGTGTTCCTGTAAAAGAATACCTGAGGCTGGGTAATTTGTAAAGAAACAGAGGTTTATTTGGCTCATGGTTCTGCAGGCTGTACAGAAATCATGGTGTCAGCATCAGCTCAGCTTCTGGTGAGGGCCTCATGTTGCTTCCACTCATGGCTGAAAGTGAAGGGTAGTCAAGCGAGTGCAGAGAGTACAAGGAAAGAGAGGAAGTGAGTGAGAGAGAGAGAGAGAGAGAGAGAAAGAGAGAGAGAGAGAAGGAGCCAGGCCTTTATTCTGTATAAATTTAAGGGGTACAAGTATGGTTTTGTTACATGCATATATTGTATAGTGGTGAAGTCTGGGTTTTGAATGTAACCATTATGTGAATAATGTACATTATACCTATTAAGTAATTTATTATTATTCATGCTCATTTCACTCCCCTACCCTTCCAAGTCTCCAGTGTCTATCATTCCACAGTCCACGTCCATGTGTAAACATTGTTTAGCTCTCATTTATAACTGAGAACACCCAGTACTTGACTTTATTTCTGAGTTGCTTCTCTTAAGATCATGGCCTCCAGTTTCATCCATTTTGCTTCAAAACACAGAGTTTTGTTCTTTTTTGTGACCAAGTAGTATTCCATTGTGCACATATGCCACATTTTCTTAATCTAGTCATTCTTTGATGGACACCCAGGTTGATTCATATCTTTGTAATTGTGAATAGTGTTGTGATAAACATGTGAGTGATGGTATCTTTTTTATATACTAATTTCTTCTCCTTTGAGTAGATGCCCAGTAGTGAGATTACTGGATCAAATAACAGTTCTATGTTTAGTTCTTTAAGAAACCTTCATACCGTTTTCCATAGAGATTGTACTTGTATTCCCACCAAGACTGTATAAGCATTTTCTTTTCTCTGAATCCTCCCCAACATGTGTTATTTTTTGACTTTTTAATAATAGCATTTCTGACTGGTTCAAGATTATATCTCATTGTGGCTTTAATTTGTACTTCTCTGATGATTAGTGATATGGTTTGGCTCTGTGCCCCCTACCTAAATCTCATTTCAAATTGTAATCTCCAAAGTGTCAAGGGAGGGGCCTGGTGGGAGGTGATTGAATCATGGGGGCAGATTTCCTGTTGTGTTCTCATGATAATAAGTGAATTCTCATGATATCTGGTTGTTTGAAAGTGTGTGGCATTTCCCCCTTTGCTATCTTTCTCTCCTGCTCCACCGTGGTAAGACATGCTTGTTTCCTCTTTGCCTTCTACCATGAATGTAAGTTTCCCGAGTCTTCCCAGTCATATTTCCTGTTAATCCTGTGGAACTGTGAGTTCACTAAATCTCTTTTCTTTATAAATTACCTAGTCTCAGGTGGTTCTTTATAGCAGTGTGAAAACAGCCTAATACAATTAGTGATGTTGAGGAGTTAAACTTAAAAAATATGTATACTATGCTTACCACACACCAGTTGAATTACCCTTGGACAATGGGACTTGTGATATAAAGATTGAAAATTCTTAAAATACAAGGGTACTAGGACAGAATTCTAGGTTCTCTTCATCCTGATTTTTCCAATAGCTACTTGTAATTCTTTGCAAAATTTGATTAACCTCCCTGAATCTCAGTTTCCTCAGACATGAAATGAAGATTAGGCATAGTAACCTCATTTACTGAGCACCTATGTGCCATGAGATTTGGTCCCCTCTAGCTACTGTAAGTAAAAATGATGTTTTAACTTCATATGTCTAGAAGTTAAGAATCATAAAGGTTAAGGACCCTGTTAAACTTTATATAGATAATGAGTATCAGAGGTAAAATTCAAACACAGATTTGTCTGAAGATTTTAAAATATTTTCCCAAGTAGACAGTTGTATACCTAGGTCATTTCTGAAAGCCATAGGCATAGAAGGTAAAATAAGGAATTTATCCTTAAATATTTGTAAGTAATTCTTTTATTGAAGTATACATACATCACAGTATGCAGATTACAAGCAAACTGGTTGAATTTTCACATTTGAATACATCCATGTTACCACCATCCAGATAAAGAAATGAAAAATTACTAACAGAAGAAACCACTTTTTAAGATATTTCAACCATTATTCCTTTCTCCTCAAAGGTGATCACTCTCCTCACTTCTATCCAAATAGGTTAGTTTTGCCTGTTTTTGGATGTTATCTGATTGGATCAGTGCTGTATTTATATTAACATTGTGTCTGAGAAATTCTTCCACAGAGTGTGTATAGTTATAGTTCTTTGCTTTTTATTGCCTTGTAATGTTCCAGCGTATGACTATACCTCACCTTAATTAACTTTTCCATCCTGTTGTTGATGGATGTTGTTGTTTCTCCCATTTTCTATTGTGAATAATTCTGCTATGAATATTACTGTGCTTGGCATTACAAAACATGCATAACATATGCATACCTTTTCAATGGTTATATACCTGAGAGTGGAATTGTTGGATGACTGAGTAGGTTTTTGTTTGGCTTTAGTAGATATGGCCAAAAAGTTTTCCACAGAAATCGTGTATAGCCATATATACTCCCACAGTGTATATGGCAGTGCATGGCAGTTCAAATCAATTCACATCTTTCTCTATAAGTGTCATTTCTGTTTTTGTTTTATCCTTTCTTATGGGTGTTCACTGATACTTCATTGGAGTTTTAATTTTAATTTCTTTATGACTAATAGGGTGAAACAACATTTGATATATTTTGTGCTGTTTGGATACTCCCTTTTAAGAAATGCCTCTCCAAGCCTTTTGCCTATTTTCCATTGAGTTGTGCCCTTTTACCTTCGTCATGACTTCATCATGTCGTTGATTTCCACATGGATATCCAATAGATCTGGTATTCGTTATTAAAATAAACATTCTCTTGTTATTGCATTGTGATATCACTTTTGGTATCTATCAAATGCCTATATGTGGGTTTCTTTCTAGATTTCCTGGTGTGTCCCATTTGCCTATGTGTCTTTCCTTGCACCAATACTGCACTATCCCTGTAATATGCTTTGATGCCTGGTATTATAAGAATAAAGCTTCAACTTTATTCTTTTGCAGCAGTGCCTAGGCAATTCTATATACTTCACATTTTCACATAAATTTTAGAATAACCACTGTAGGAAAACCTGCTAAAATGTTGATTTGGGATTACATATATATGCCATTTTTGAAAGAACTTACTTGTTTAAAATATTAAACCTTATAATTCATGAACATGATAAATATGTGTATGTGTCTTCAATTTCTGATGATTAATAGTTTTTTCTATCAAAACCTTTCACATATTTGATTCTCAGTTGCATGATTTCTGATGCTATTTTAAATAATATCATCTTAGAAATTTATTTTTGTTATTGATTTATAGACATACAATTGATAGTTTAATACTGTTTTTTGTATCCAGTTATCTTGCTTAATAACACCAACTACTAATAATCATTTATTCATTCATGTCAATTATTGTATGTAGTGCTATGCCTCTTGTTCTTCCTGATTATGTAAATGCACAGTCATGTCATCTGTGAATAATTTAAGTTTTATTTTCTTTTCCTTTACTCTGCTGAGGTATTTTACTTTTCTTGCCTCATTTCAATTCTTAAGGTCTCGGATACAAAGTTAAGTAGAAGTGGTGATGTTAGGCATCATTATCCTGTGACCAAATGCATAGGGAATACTTAAACATTTCAACATTAAGTATGATTTTTGAAGAGAAATTTTCTATTTCTGGTTTACTAAGTTACCATGAATATCAATTTAGATTCATCACTTTTTTCATATGGAGAATAATGTAGTTTTTCTCTTTATTTTATTAATGTGGTAAGATACGTTGCACGATTTTTAAATGTTCTTACTGAGTTATTTTTGATAATATTTTGTTTGAAAGTTTTGCCTCTAAGTTAATGAGAATTTTCATTTTAATTTTTCTTGTTTTGTAATGCCCTTTCAAGTTTTGTGGACTCACAAAATAAGTTGGGAAGTATTCTTTTCTTACCCACTTTAGAAGTGTTTGTACAATTAGTATTTTTTATTTTATTGTTCTATTTTTCCCTTACATTCTTTGGATAATTCACTAGCAAACACCTCTGAAGCTGAATATTTCATTTCAGAAAACTTTTTGAATTCACATTTGAATTTCTTTCTTCCTTACATTAGTTTAGCTAAGTCCTATTTTTAAGAAAATGTCAAATTTCATCTAAGTTTTCAAATTTATTGTTTTCAAGTTGTTCAACATATTCCTTAGCTTAATGAATCCTAGCAAACGGAATAGAACCATTAACCATCACCAAGCTTAAGACACAGAGCATTACTGACATCTCTCCTTCAAGTCAAAACCTCCTCAATGGCAACCAGCCTCCTTACTGAAGCACCGTATTTTTTTCCAGTAACTGAACTTTGTATAAATTGAATTAAACTGTACATACATTTTTGCTCCTTGAGTTTTTTACTCAATGTTGAAATGAGTGATTGTATATTCATCCATGTTGCTGTATGTAGTAGTTTTTCTCATTATCATCATTGCATAGAATTCCATTTGTGGGTATACATCAACTTATTAGTTTGTTGACTATTGTTGGTCATTTTGTTTTTATTTTTCAATTTTGAATTACTACAAATATTGTTATTGTAAACTTTCTTGCATATTCCCTTTGTAAGCCCATGAACACATTTCTGTTGGGGTTTATCAAGAAATAAAATTTCTAGTTCATAAGGAATGCAGTTTTAACATACATGACCAAAAAGGTTTTTGTAAGGATATAGCAAACAACCCTCCCACAAGCAGTGCATGAGAATTTTAGTATCTGCATCATCACTAACACTTAGTATTGTCTCCAATTTTAGCCACTCTGACATATATGTAGTGGTGTTATGTTATGTTTTTAATTTACATTTCCTTAAAGTTGGATGCATTTTCCTGTGTGTATTGGACACATGGATATCTTCTTTTGTAAAGTAATTGTTAAAAGTTTAATCTGTTTTTTTCTCAAGATTATCTATTTTCTTATTGATTTTTGTTTATTTTTGCATGTAATTATTTTATTGGTTATATGTAAAAAGGATACAGTGAAATCTGTACTCATGCATTATGGCTAGTGGAAATGAAAGATGTCACTTTGGAAACAGTTCAGCAGGTTCTTATAAAGCTAAACATGCAGTTAGCATATGAGCCAGAAACTTCACCTAGGTATTTACCTGTGAGAAAAGAAAACATATTTTTTTGCAAAGTACTGAAGTACATATTTCTCCATAGTAGTATAAAACTAGAAATAACACAGATGGGAAAGTAATTTTAAAATAAAATATATAAACATATATTGATAAATATATAAATTAATGTATCTATAAATAAATCTTTATAGGTAAATATGTATCTGTAGATATGTAAATTTACATATTTAATTACATAACTATATATGCTATGTAATAATACTCAGCAATAAAACTTGATGCATGAAATAAAATGGCTGAATTTCAAAAGTATCATGCAAAGCAAAAGAAGTTACATACAGAGACTATATGTTTCCATTTATATAAAATTCTAGAAAAGATTAAAGTATAGGAGTTTACAGCTCCAGCCAGGGGCTGGGGGTAGAAAAGAGGGCTTATTTTATACAGGCATAAGAGAATATTTTGACTAATGAAAGTGTTATCTATTTTGATTGTGGTGATGGTTGTACGACTGCATAAATCTGATGAAACTTTGAATTCTGTACACAAAAAAGGGTTAATTATTGTATGTATAATTTTATCTCAGCAAACCTGCCTTAAAAACTGATTGCAGGGAGGCCGAGGTGGGTGGATCATGAGGTCAGGAGATCGAGACCATCCTGGCTAACAAGGTGAAACCCCGTCTCTACTAAAAATACAAAAAATTAGCCGGGCGCGGTGGCGGGCGCCTGTAGTCCCAGCTACTCGGGAGGCTGAGGCAGGAGAATGGCGTGAACCCGGGAAGCGGAGCTTGCAGTGAGCCGAGATTGCGCCACTGCAGTCCGCAGTCCGGCCTGGGCGACAGAGCGAGACTCCGTCTCAAAAAAAAAAAAAAAAAAAAAAAAAAAAAAAAAAAAAAAAAAAAAAAAAAAAAACTGATTGCATAATCAAGTATTAAACTATAATTTTAATATTATTTTAAAACCATTCTGATTATATAGTGTTGTATAAAATACCACCCTGATGTGGTTTGTCTCTGTGTCCCCACCCAAATCTCATCTTGTAGCTCCCATAATTCCCACCTGTTGTGGGAGGGACCTGGTAGGAAGTGATTGAATTATGGGGGCAGGTCTTTCCCATACTGTTCTCATGGTAGTGAATAAGTCTCCCAAGAGCTGATGGTTTGATAAGGGGAAACCCTTTTTGTTTGGAACTCATTCTCTATTTGCCTGCTGCCTTCCATGTAAGACATGACTTGCTCTTCCTTGCCTTCCACCATGATTGTGAGGCTTCCCTAGCCAAATGGAACTGTAAGTCCAATTAAACCTCTTTCTTTTGTAAATTGCTCAGTCTTGGGTATGTCTTTATCAGCAGCATGACAATAGACTAATGCAGTAAATTGGTACCAGTAGAGCAGGACACTGCTGAAAAGATACCCCAAAAATATGGAAGTGACTTTGGAACTGGGTAACAGGCAGAGGTTCGAACAGTTTGAGGGCTCAGAAGAAGACAGGAAAATGTGGGAAAGTTTAGAACTCCCTAGGGTCTTGTTGAATGGCTTTGACAAAAATGCTGATAATGATACGGACAATGAAACCCAGGCTGAGGTGGTCTTGGATGGAGATGAGGAACTTGTTGGGAATTGGAGCAAAGGTGACTCTTGTTATGTTTTAGCAAAAAGACTGGTGGTAATTTGCCCCACCCTAGAGATTTGTGAAACTTTGAACTTAACAGAGATAATTTAGGGTATCTGGAGGAAGAAATTTCTAAGCAGCAAAGCATTCAAGAGGAGACTTGGGTGCTGCTGAAGGCATTCAATTTTAAAAGGGAAACAAAGCATAAAAGTTCAGAACATTTGCAGCCTGACAATGGGATAGGAAAGAAATTCTCATTTTCTGAGGAGAAATCCAAGCCAGCTGCACAAATTTGCATAAGTAAGAAGGAGCCAAATGTTAATTCCCAAGACAACGGGGAAAATGTCTCCAGGGCATGTCAGAGACCTTTGTGGCCCCTCCCATCACAGCCTGAAGGTTTAGGAGGAAAAAGTGGTATATTGGGCCAGGCCCAAGGTCTCTGTGCTGTGTGCAGTCTAGGGACTTGGTGCCCTGCATCCCAGCTGCTCCAGACATGGCTGAAAGGGGCCAATGTAGAGCTGTGGCTGTGGCTTCAGAGGGTGCAAGGCTCAAGTCTTGGCAGCTTTCATGTGATGCTGAGCTTGCAAGTGCACAGAAGTTAAGAACTGAGGTTTGAGAACCTCTGCCTAGATTTCAGAAGATGTATGGAAATGCCTGGATACCCAGGCAGAAGTTGGCTGTAGGGGTGGGGCTGTCAAGGAGAACCTTTGCTAGGGCAGTGCAGAAGGAAAATGTGGGGTTGAAGTCCCCACACAGAGCCCCTACTGGGGCACCACCTAGTGGAGCTATGAGAAGAGGGACACGATCCTCCAGACCCCAGAATGATAGATCCACCAGTAGCTTGCACCGTGCTCCTGGAAAAGCTGCACTCAACACCAGCCTGTGAAAGCAACCAGGTGGGAGGATGTACCTTGTAAGGCCACAGGGGCAGACATGCCCAAGATCATGGGAACCCACCTCTTGCATCAGTGTGACCCAGATGGGAGACATAGAGTCAAAGGAGATAATTTTGGAGATTTAAGATTTGAATGCCCTGCTGGATTTCGGATTTGTGTGGGGCTTGTAACCCCTTTGTTTTGGCCAATTTCTCCCATTTGGAATGGCTGTATTTACCCAATGCCTGTACCCCCATTGTACCTAGCAAGAAACTAACTTGCTTTCGATTTTACAGGCTCATAAGCAGAAGGGACTTGCCTTGTCTTGGATGAGACTTTGGACTGTGGACTTTTGAGTTGATGCTGAAATGAGCTAAGACTCTGTGGGACTGTTGGGAAGGCATGATTGATGTTGAAATGTGAAGAAGTGAGATTTAGGAGGGGCCAGGGGTGGAATGATGTGGTTTGGCTCTGTGTCCCCACCCAAATCTCATCTTGTATCTCCCATAATTTCCATGTGTTGTGGGAGGGATCCTGTGGGAGGTAATTGAATTATGGGGACAGGTCTTTCCATACTGTTCTCATGGTAGTGAATAAGTCTCACAAGATCTGATGGTTTGATAAGGGGCAACCTGTTTCTCTTGGCGCTCATTCTCTCTTTGCCTGCTGCCATCCATGTAAGATGTGACTTGCTCCTCGTCTTCCACTATGATTGTGAGGTTTCCCCAGCCATGTGGAGCTTTAAGTCCAGTTAAACCTCTTTCTTTTGTAAATTGCCCAGTCTCAGGTATGTCTTTATCAGAAATGTGAAAATGGACTAATACCCCAAATTTAGTGGTTTAAAATAGTGACATTTTATTGCTCACAACTCTGAAGTGCAGGCGAGGCTTGGTAAAGCATAGTTTGCTGCATTCAGGAACAGGATCAATTACTATAATTCAAAGGCTGGAGACTGAAGTCATCTGAAGGCCTCCTCATTTACAATATCTGGCAGTTAATAATGGTTGTTGGCCAGCATTTCAGCTGGGGCAGTGATCAGAACACATACATGTGGCTTTTCCATGACACAGCTTGGTTTCTTCACATCATGGTGGCTGGTTTCCAAGGTGAGTGTTCCAAGTGCACAAGGAATCTGTAGGAATCAGAATTAGCCTTAAAAGATACTCTAGTGGATCGAATGGTGTACCTCTAAAAGCTATGCCCAAGTTGTAATCTTTGGTACCTGTGAATATAACCTTGTTTGGAAAAGGGGTCTTTGCAGATATAATTATGGTAATGATCACAAGATGAGATCATCCTGGATGAACCAGGTGAGTCCTAAATCCAATGACGATTGTCCTTTTAAGAGACAGAAAAGGAGAAGGCCATGTGAAGATAAAAGCTGAGATTAGCATCATGTAGCCACATGCCAAGAAAGATCTGAAGCCGTGACAGCTGGAATAGGCAAGGAAACATTCTCTGCTAGATTCTTTGGAGAGTGTGTGGGCTCTTGACACCTTGATTTTGGACTCTGGCTTCTAGAACAGAGATGGTACATTTGATTTGTTTTAAGCCACCAAGTTTGTGGTAATTTGTCATGGAAATTCTGGGAAGCTAACATAGGCACATAGCATTATTCTTTAAAAATTTTTACTAATAAATGACACGTAATAATTGTACATATTTACTGAGTACAATGTTATGTTTCAATGCATGTGTACATAGTATAATGATCAAATTGGGCTATTGTAAATGTGTTGCATATTTCAAGATGGTGGAAAGAGAAGATTTTGAATGTTTTCACAAAACATCAATTTTGCCAGAGTCACAGGCCCATCCAGATTCAAGGGGAGGCAATATAGACTTCATTTTTTGATAGACAGGTGTCAATGTTGCTTGTAAGAAATGCATGTGGGTTGATATATACTGGTGTGACCATCTCTGCAAAATACAGTCTGCTACCCTCAGGCCTCTAGTAAGATAACCAACCATCCCAGTTTGCCCAAGACTGTCACTGAAAGTCTCACATTCCAAGAAACCCTTCAGTTCTGGGAAAGAGCAGACAGTTGATCACTGTACTAGCCATAATTTGCATTGTTAACAAATTAAAAAATGTATTTATCCTCTCTCTTAAGTACTCCATGTCTCATCTTATTATATCAGCTTGAAGTTCAAGATCTTGTCCCCTAATTCATATCTAGGTATAGATGAGACTCTGTAGTTAAAGTTCCTTGAACACAGATAATTAATGACTATTCCTTTTGATATGTATACTTATTGTCCGAGACTCATTAGCTACAAGGTAACTCAGTAGATAAATTAACAGTATTTTGTACCATCCTCTAGATTTAGTGGGTATTTCTCATGCCTACTAGATTATTTCTTTCTCATAATTGACTTTACTTACATGACTTTTCAAATTCTTAGCTATTGTACATTATTTCATTATTTTCATAATTATCATTACAAATCCTAATTCACTATACATAAAAACCTTCAGCCCAAATATTTTTCCTTTCAAATTCTGCAAATAGAATGCAGCTTTTAACAAACAGCCTCATGAGGTGATAAATGACTGAAGCAGGAGATAACTATAATTAAGCACCAGATAGAGTTCTCTAAACCTCACTAAAAATTGCAAGACCATTCCCTACTCCTCTGGGATATGTTTTCGCTATGTTTTAGTATCCTCTACTGTCTAATAGATCTGTTCAGGGACATGTCTCCAGATCAGGGGCTCCATCTTATTGATTTTATTGGGGAGGCACTAGGGTTTTGCCTGAGGAAATCTTACTCAGATGACAATCTGTTGCCCACTTGGCAAAACATGCTTTATTTATTTATTTTTTCTCAAAGTTCTCCCTTTTCTCCAATCTTGATGGACCTGGGGAAACTGAACAAGTCTCTATGGGGTTCAATATAAAGCCCTGACCTGTGGATTACTTGTAATTCCTCTCTCAGCCTGGGTGTGTGTGAAACTGCAGGACCCTGGAGTAGGTAAGGAGCTGCTGCAGATCCAGACTCCAGGGAAGAGGAGAGCTGAGACTCAGGCAAAAGGAAAGCAGATGGGGAGTTTTCCTCTTTCTGGATCTGATTCTAGTAGGAAGGACAGTTATCTGCATGAAGAGGAATAACTGCAACTCAGAATTTAATGCCAATCCTCCCTCCAAAATCTTGGAGACTTTGCCTGGTTCCCATCTCTGGCTCTCACAACTGATGAAAATGCAGTGAACTTCCTATGAGAGTAGGATGGGATCTATCAGCAATGTACCACAATCTCAGCTCTTTTTCCTCTTTCAGTTTACAGTGCAAGGTAGTAAGATCTGCTGATCCTTTTTTTTTTTTTTTTTTTTTTTTTTTTTTACCAAAACTGTTGTGAGATAGGATGAGGTAGGATTATGAGTATGAGAAGTGCTTCAGGAGCCAAATGACTGATCAATGAGGGCTATTGTATTTTTCTCCCCTTAGGCTGGCTCCACAGATTTGGGAGAGAACATTCCCAACAATCTCTCAGGCACAGATAGATTTGGAATTTAGTTCCCCTGCTCAGTATGGGTGCTCAATGAAGTCAGGTACTAACTAACCAGCTCACCATGCCACACCTCAGCAACACCACATCTGAGTTCCCAATCTTCCTCCTAACAGGCTTCCCTGGGCTGGAGGCCTTCCACATCTGGATCTCAATTCCCTTCTTCCTTCTGAGCACAGTTGCTCTCTTAGGGAACAGCATGATCCTATTGGTTGTTATTCTGGAGCCAAACCTCCATGAACCCATGTACTGTTTTCTCTTCATGCTGTCTGCCGCTGACCTGGGGCTGACCCTCTCCACAATGCCCACGACCCTCAGTGTCCTCTGGTTCAGTGCACGTGAAATCATCCTCAATGCATGTATCATCCAGCTCTTTTTCCTCCACAGCTCTGGCTTTATGGAATCCTCAGTACTGATGGCCATGGCTTTTGACCGCTTTGTTGCCATTTGCAGACCCCTCAGATATGCTACCATCCTGACAGACTCCAGAATTCTAAAGATTGGTGTAGCAATAGTCCTAAGAACATTGATCAGCCTCTGTCCATCCCTCTTTCTCATTAAGAGACTGTCATTTTGCAAAGTCAATGTCCTTTCCCATTCTTACTGCTTCCACCCTGATGCGCTTAAAGTTGCATGTTCTGATTCAAGGATGAACAGCTATGGAGGCTTAGCTGTTCTCATTCTGGTCACCGGGGTTGGTACACCATGTGTTGCGCTTTCCTACATCCTGATAATCCACTCTGTACTAAACATCATCTCTTCAGAGGGACGGAGGAAGGCCTTCGACACTTGTGGATCTCACATTGGGGCAGTTGCAGTCTTCTACATTCCCTGGGTTGTTCTTTCAGTTGTCCACAGATTTTTCCACAAGGCTTCACCAATATGTCCACCCACTATTGTCCAACATCTATTTCCTTGGCCCCTCTCGGCTGAACCCCATCATATATAGTGTGAAGACTAAACAAATCCGCAGGGCTATCCTCAAACTCTTTCAAACAAAATCAAAAGAAATGTAATGGGGGCTTTTCTTCCTGCTGGGGTCTACCTGATTCAATCATATTCTGTTGCATTTCTCTCCCATGCCAACCCGTATTTCTTCTCTAATAACAAAAAGAAGAACAGTAATGCTTACTGAGCACCCACTATCTTCAAGTTCTGCATTTGTCTCCTTTAAGTACATGCTTTCTTTTACTTAGCTTAAACCACAGTTCTTTGAAATGGATAACCATAATTTCAATTTATGAATTAAGAAATTCAGGGACTAGAATATTGAATGATTAGTTTAAGATAAAAAATCTGGAATTTATATCCACAGCTATTGTCTCAAAATCCCATGCTCTTCCTGGATATCATGCTGGTTCTAAGTATAGAAGATACAGTTAGTGCCATTGTTTGAGGATACATGGATATCCAGTTCTGCTCTCTCCCAGAATACTTAACAGGCACACAGCACATTGGAAAATTCCTGAAGAAGGGACACTATGACCCTATTCCTCTTCAATCTTCTATATTCTTTCTGCTTTCTCAGAACAGCTGTGCTAACAGAGATTTTACTTCTGGGTATAACAGACTCTTAGGAGACATGTTACAAGCCATGAGCTCCCTCTGTGAATCTCACTGAGATTCCTCCACAGAGGGAGCTCATGGCCTGTGACATGAGAACCGTAGATTTGAGAGAATTGAGGGTTCTAGTTGCTGGAGTAGTGTGATGCTACCACATGCACAATTCACACATAAACAAGGAAAATGGCTTCTAAGAAGCAAAAGCTCAGTCACAGAAGCATTTTACCAGTAATAGCATTGCTTCTCAAATTTGCCTAATTTTCTATTTGTGACCTGGTAGATAACTGTACAGAAAAAAAATAGTATCTGCATAAGTATCCAAAGAAGCATTAATTTTTTTTTAACATTTGATACAGTCAACTACAGAAACAGCAATTACAACACAGTTGGCATTGTCAAAAGAAAAACAGAATAAATTCATCTTGAGCTTTAGAGGTGCCAGTTTGGGTTTAGGCATTTTGAAGGGTTAGGAAGATGAGAGTTGGGCTCAAAAACAGGGTATTTCCTCAGTATTCTCAATGTGATTTCATTCAATGAAATGAATGAACAGTGTTTTGGGGATGCTTTCTCACCTCAAGTAGACAATATATTCAATGTTGTCAGCATGTATTGAATGGATGGATGGATGGAAGGATATACAAGGGGACCACAGCTATGATTATGTAGCTTTTGACCATGTCTCAGTTTTTGCCCTGGTATTACCTAACGCATGAGTTCCCAGCAAGCCTGCATGGTAGAGAATAAGAGCCTGATTCTCTCTTTGTGATTTTCCTCCACTTATCTATTTGTGGGTAAGTGGAAGTAAAGGATTGGTTTGGCTTTCTCTAAAACAGCTACTCACATCAGACATTTGGCTAAGAAGTCTTGTTGAAAAATAGTAGTTTCTAATTTGAATGAGTGACATGTGGGGATGTTGAATATATGTAACTGAGGTTAGAGATTGTTGTGTTTCTATGTGGCATTTTTGTATTGCAAAATTTTAAATCAAGATGAATTTCAGATTGATTGGTTTGATTTATGTTTCTAAAGCCTCTTCTCTTACATTTTATTGTAATTAAATTGCAAAATGCCTCATTCTCTATTTCTATCTGGAAAATAAAGTGATTTTGGGGTCTCTGTTACTATATTCTTTAACTAGGAATCTCCAGAAGATGCTGGTAGCAGGTTCCTGACTATATTCCCATTTTTTTTTGACAGGAATAGAGCTACACATGCTAGGTTATCATGTATTTTACCAGTATACAAGTTGATTTCCTGAAGGTAAAGATATCCCCCCACTTTTTTTTTTTTTTTTTTTTTTTTTTTTTGAGATGGAGTCTCGCTCTGTCACCAGGCTGGATTGCAGTAGCATGATCTCGGCTCACTGCAACCTCTGCCTCCTGGGTTCAAGTGATTCTCCTGCCTCAGCCTCTTGAGTAGCTGGGACTACAGGTGCCTGCCACCACACCCAGCTAATTTTTTGTATTTTTAGTAGAGACGGGGTTTCACTGTGTTAGCCAGGATGGTGTCGATCTCCTGACCTTGTGATATGCCCGCCCCAGCCTCCTAAAGTGCTGGGAAGCACTTCACAGGTGTGAAGGATATCCCTTTTAAAGAAGAGAAATTCACACAGAATATGTTTACTTGGTTCAATAAAATATTTATGGAATATATATTAAGTAGCAGATGAAGGTTTAAAATAACAATATAGATAAGAAGATTGCATGTATAACAAAAGACCTATTAAATATGTAGCATTTGATATTTAAATAGATGGATGCACACATATTGAAAATTATAATACACAACTATATTTAAGAAGCAATTAGGCCAGGTACGGTAGCTCACGCCTGTAATCCCAGCACTTTGGGAGGCCAACGCAGGCCGATCACAAGGTCAGGAGATTGAGACCATCCTGGCTAACATAGTGAAACCCCGTCTCTACTAAAAATACAAAAAATTAGCCGGGTGTGGTGGCACGTGCCTATAATCCCAGCTACTCGGGAGGCTGAGGCAGGAGAATCTCTTAAACCTGGGAGGTGCGGAGGCTGCGGTGAGCCAAGATTGCGCCATTGCCATTGCACTCCAGCCTGGGCAACAGAGTGAGACTCTGTCTCAAAAACAAACAAACAAAAAAAAGCAATTATTAAATAGTTTCATTTCAGATTTTGAGGAAAAACTCAGCATATTTATGATGTTGCTGGAGTTTCTCCCATTTCACTCTGGGATTCAATTTTTTGACAGTAGGTCACACTTAGAAATGGGCCTCTCAGTCCCTCTTATTTCTTCCAGAAGAAGGTATGTAATTGCTATTTGGAGGAAGACATAAGTACTGGCAATTGTATGAGATCAAATCAGGCGATAGTTCTCTTCTCCAGAATGAGGGTGGTGTATGAGCAAAAATAGTAGGAAAGGGCCCAGGTAAGAACATGGTAAGTCAATCTGATGGTCTCGTCTTCCACACACCCTCTCCACTTCCACAAATGATCAATACACATGTTGCCTCCTGCCATAGGCTCTTAATGGCTCTCCATGAGTAGTGATTCACTTTTCTAGGTTAACCATGCCAACTCAATATTTCTTCATGCACACCATGCTTATTATGATGTTCATAGCTTAATAGTTACTGACGTTTAAAAATAAAGGTGCTAAGACCTTCAAATAATGTATCTCATAAGTGGTATACATTCAGAACTTTGTATATAAACGTCTCTTACATTTCTAATTATATCTTAACTGCTACCTTCGAAGTACATTATGCTGCCTTATATTTAAAAAACCTAATATTCCAACATCCTGCTTGTTGTATCGGTTATTCTCAATTGTCTCATCAATCAATAATCATTTCTTGAGCACCTACTGTGTGCCAAGCCCTGATAAATCTGAAGCGTACATAAATAAAAGAGGCCACAATTTGTGCTTTTAGAATCTGAGAATCTACCACAGGAGGCTAAATAGATTCAAATGCCTGCAATGCAGTCAAGTACAGTGGTTAATAGTTGCGGCTATGAACAGAAGTGGGACATAATATTCCAGGCTAGGCAGCTGGGCTCATTCTTTGAATTAATCCTTTAGATTCCAATAAGACTGCTGATTGACATCTTATCCAAGTCGGAGACCAATTTTTTTTCCTAGTAGAGGACTCTATAACCCATCATTTAAGAGAGTTTTACTAACTTAGTTGTGCCCGAACCTTGATCTCTGTTGGAGTGTTGAGGTCTTGCCCTCATCTCTCCTGATCAAGCTCCCACTGTGTACCCTAGGTCTAGTGCAAAGCAGCTGCCTAATTTCTCTGTATTTTAGATCACTCTCTTGGGTCATTATATTGTTAATACTATCACAACAAATTGTTCCTGCCTTGTTACCTTTACCAGCTTTTGCTCTTACTGTTGCAATTTATTTTGTCTTATTTCTCTTGTGAGGTTCTTAAGAGTGTAGAGTTCTCCATTTCTCTATGGCTATAATTCTTAGAAAAGTGCAAGATGCAAAATAATATATAATGAATTGAGTATTTCAAAAAGTTTGGGCTCTAGGACTAGGTCCCCTGTGCTTGTGTCCAGTGTTGGGTTCCAGATTTCTTTTTTCTCAGATTCCTGCTTCCCAGTAGGAATCACTTCACCCCGAGTCCTTCCCAGCTTAACTTCTCCCTCTGCTATCTGCTTGTTGTTTTTCTAGCAATCACCCTATCTAATTGTTTAGGTTTTCTTTGGGTCTTTAGAAAAGCATAATGTAGTAGATTGTGAGATTTTATAGCCTGAGTTCAAATCCTGGATTTTACCTACTAGCTGTGTAGCCATGCTCAAATTAATTAATATATGCTTCATATTCCTCATCTTATCTGTACAATGGAGATAATAGCAACAATACTTTATAGAAGTGACAAGAGGGTTTAATAAGTTAGTATACTGATAACAATAATAACAGTCTATACTTGAAAAGTACAAGTGTTTGACTCAAAAAAAAAAAAGGATGTGCTCACACTAACACAAACTCACAGTTCAGTTCACAAAGACAGACACAACCTGAAAGAAAACACAAATAGCAAATAATGATAATTATGGAATTATTTCCTTCGGAGGCAACTTCTCTCTTAAAAAGGAAGAGTTTTTAACGGGCCTAAGTACAAAACACCCTATCGCCCTCCCTCCAGCCCCTAACAAACCCTTAGCAACATATTTAGGGAGAGAGATTTTTGACAAGAACCACCAGGTCACTAGAATGTCTAGTTTGATCATTTTAAGTGACTTTGAGAGTAAAGAGCCTTGTTTGTGGGTTATGCAGATTTTCTCTGTTGTCCTGAGGAAAGAATGAGAGAAGCAATATCCATTTTCACTGTCTTGGGTCAGAATAAGAGAACACACACCCCTCAGTAGAATGCACTACTTATCAATAGTACTTGGGTCATTAGAAAACACGAAAATCCGATAGAGAGTTAAAAATCAAAAACTGAAAAGCAATCCTATTGTCTGGGTAGAACATGAACTTCTGTTATCACATACATGGCTTACAGTTGGGAAAACAGTGATCCTTTAGCTGCCTGAGGTTGGTCAGAGGTCTTTAGGTGGACATACAGAGAAAAGAAGAAGGAGCGGGGATTATATGTGTTGTTGTGTATTCGTTGTATCAGAATTTACTGGATACTTGCTATGGCCAGCCAATTGATAGTTATTTTATATGTTTTATTTTATTATTGCTCTATAAAATGAGCATATTCTCTTACGTTTGTATCAGTAAAAACAAGCAACTAAAATTAGAGTGATTATCTCAAGTGAAACAAGACTTAAGTAACAGATTTAAGTGACCTATCTTACTGATAATTAAACCCATGTGATTCCAATAACCCATTTGAATGGGCGGGTGTGTTTAGAAGCAGTATCTACAACAAGACTATTTGTATTCCTACTTTTACATAAATAATCTCATTTAATTTTATAATCACCCTTTGATGTAACTATAGTTCCAGGTATTATAAATAAATTGAGATGATGTCTCCCCTGTAATTTCATCGGATATTACCCCTAGTTCTTTACTGTGAGAACTCAGTCTCTGGTGCAAATCTCCTTGAGGAACACAGAAGCAACCAAACTCTTTGGTGTTTCTATTTTTTTTGTATCAACTAAAACTTGTGGCTTTTACAAATTGATAAAAAACGAGAGACTTATAAATAAATTAATAATTCAATGAATTTTGCTTGCTCTAATTAACGTAAATGAAGAGTCAAGGTAGTCTTAGGAAAATCCAGAATGTAGGATTATTCTATCCATTTTCCTAAGACATTCTATGTCTGTGTGGAATCATGATAAATTAGACAGCATTTTAAAAACAGTACTTGAATAGGGAAGCATTACATTTTTCATGCCATAGTTTCCTGGATCCTTGCTCTTCAAGGGTTTACATCCTGAGAATTACTCACATAGATTATTTCATGAAATTTTCCTTAAATAAAATTTAATAACAGCTTGGGATGAATTTGGTTATTTATACGTCTTTGGTCCTTGATTAACAGGAATAAAGAAAATCAAGTTGGTGATTCTATGGCAGGAAATTTTCCCACAAAATCTCTGTACCATGTTTTCTTGGATATGCTTACTCTTTACCCCACAGGTGATGGTATTGAACATGGAAGGCACTAATGAGTAAAGGATGAGCAAGGAGATGGGAATCACTGTGAGTGTATGGTAGCAAAAGCAACAAGAGAAAAAGGAGTAGAATACTGAGATGTGCAGGAACAGGGTGACACAAATGTGGAAGGCATATATGCTAAATACCTTGGGCAGAGATTCTCTGCAGGTAGCTACAGTACAGCCTGCAATGTCTGATATCTGTGGTTCTAATGACAAATATATCAAATCCAACCACAGAAAAGGCCATAAGAGACCACAGGTACGGACTATATATGTGATGTCTGCACATACCAGATTCAGCATGACCACTTGCTCATAGTAGGTCTAGGGCAAGATCTAGCTGAGGCAGAAGGGCATCTAGGAGAACATGAAGCAAAAGGGCTCATTCACAGTACACTCTGTGTCATTGTGAGAAACACACTCACCTGTCCAAACCCAAAGAATAGACTCAGAGACAAGGAGAACAATAGATACGAGGCTTTTAATGGAGGTCTTGCAAGATCGGGTCTCTGGTGAGCAGGCATACCTGGTACAGTTACAACAAGCAATTTATCCCCTAGTATGCAAGTCCCCCACCTAGTTCCTCATAGGTTGAGTACTATGAGGTTGCAATCTTCCTGGATGTTGCATATATTTCTTTTCTTGGTCTTTATTGGTCGTTGGGTTGGAGCTTTAGGTATTTTCTTTAGGGTCTTCTCACTGCATTTTGTTGCAGCTTATAATGCATTGCAATCATTGTCAGCTCAGGGACTCTTTAGGTATTTGACCTATGACCCAGGCGGTTAGGCAAACTGTTAGGAATAGATAAGGTGGGCTATTTTGCAAGCTAGTAAACTCTCATTCTAAGCTAAACCCTTTGGTTCGGGTGAGGGTAACCAAGCAGTCCCGACAAGCAGGTGCTGGCTATTAAAGCAGAGGCCTAGAGTATCCTGTTCTTCCATAGTTTGCAGGTCCAGGCCTATTCCATGTACTTTGTCTTGAAAATAGATCACCATATATGTTATTTTCTGCATCATCACAACTGTTCTCGGCTTGACAGCCAAGAACGGTCAACACCCTGCAAAATGGCAGGGTGAGGTGGAAAGCAGATGAACACCTCTACTGTCCAGATGGGAACATCTCATGACCACCTCTGACCAACATGGGAGAGAGTATGAATGAATCAGACTAGCATGGTTCAGGCAGCTATAGAAGTTGAATTTATGGGCTTAGAACCAATAAAAGGATAATGTCTTAGGTTATGTGTAAGACCACCTCACTCATCAAACTTAGAAGCATCAGAAAGAAATATATGTGTTCCTAGAAGTAGTTAATGCAGGTCACATGAAAGAAGGGCAATATTAAATACAGCAGCCACAACAACAGCTGATAAAGCACAGGAAACGGATCCAGAATTGGGAAATCTGCCACCCTGGAAAGACACAAGAAGCAGGTGTGTGTTGTGTGGGGTGGGGGCTTTAGATCCCAATGGTGGTATCAGAGGATGACTGCTGCCCTAACATTTGGGGGAGAAACCTATCCTCTGAAGAGACCAACCAAGTAATAAACACATATTATTTCCGAAAAGATTGGGAATTATGAGGGCCAAGTGATTAGAAAATTGTCTGAACAGGAAACTACGTATCATATGTAAATCAACACACATTTTTTACTCAATTAAACCTAACAAAATTGGGCTACATCCAGTTTCAATAATGTTTATCAATCACAAGCCGAAATTTATAGAATGAAGAATAAGCATTTCAAAGGTTAAATGTCCAAATGGAAATGAGTCACATTAAATGCTACATTAAACATTAAACATAAGAACACTTGTCCTTTGTTTCCACATAAAAGTCAATTACATCTAAAAAAATTACTTTATTATGCCTGTGGGCAGGTCTAAACCTTCTTTTATTTTATGCACATGAAATTAAAATAAATTGGAAAAATCAAGAAGATGGTGGGAGAGGACGAAGGGGACAGGGAGAGAGAAAGAGAGAGAGAGGGAGAGAGAGAGAGAGAGAGAGAGAGAGACCTAACAATCAGCCACATTATTCTTACATTGTTTTCATTTCTTTATAGCATCCTAAAGATGGTTTTCATGATTCTGCCTCTTTGAACTGGGGCCAGTTCTATGCGTCAGAGTTTCCTTTTTTTCCCTTTGGAGCCCATTATTTTTTCCTAAGAGTTTCAACAGGACAAGTCGCCACTCTGAGTTTGCCCAGAATTCCTTAGTTAAAGCACAGGTGGGAGATGGCTATGTCACGTAACCTACAGCTGCAGTTCCCGGGAAAAGTAGAGCCTGTCTGTTGCTCTACAGCATCGCTTGTCTCAGAAGCAACTTGGCTGTTTCTCCTGGTTCTCTTATGGCTCATTGTCTTTGCCAATGCTGATTCCACTGCTTTAAATTTCCTTTCCGTGTTTATCAATCTAATGAATTAAAACTTCTCAATTTACAATACAGAATAAACATTACCTCTTTAGGGATATCGTTTCTGATCCTCAGATAGAATTGCCTTCTCATTTGTATCCTGTTCATGAAGTCAATATATTACTTGAAGTACATGTATTGCATTTCTGTTCTGTTTTCAAGTCTATCTTTCCTGACTACATTGTAAGGACTAAGTCCAGTGGTTAGAGTCTGTCTTCACCATGCCCAACATAGCTGCATTCTGGATGTTTCAGGACATTGATCAATAAATCTTTCGTATCAAGTACCCCTTCCAAGAAGGAATTCATAAATATACAGACTTTTAATATACACATACTTTCTCTGTGTTGGGAGGTAGACAGGTCTGATAGGTGATTACTGTTTTACTCTGAGAAGAGAGGAAATAGAGACAAAGTTGCTTGGGCAGGGAAGGGTGGGAATTTCTCCAGTCACACACTGAGTAAAGGCCTGAGCTGGGACTCCTGGGAGATGCCAGGTCTCCTGCTGCTGCCGCAGTGCTTCTCCTCCTTTGCTATACCTAAGGCAATCTCAGCCCTAATGTCCAGGAACCTTGGGAAAAGGATAATACCTCAGGGCTAACTTCTTCTGTAATTGCTCCTGGAAGCATTGCCATTGTCAGTGAGTTCATAAACAACAGTGCACTTCGGGCTCCTGTACTCACCTGCTCAGTGAGAGTGAGCGCTCCCAGAGAACCAATACAGTGACTTGCTCACTTTTTAAAATCCTATCTGAGATCTCTTTAGAACACAGCTTTCATCATTCACATATTTATTCATGTAACAAATAAACTTGTCATATTTAACACTTCCCCTATTCCAGGCTGCTAAGTGCTGGGCATACAGCAATAAGAGTGATTTGGTGGCAGCTCTCAAAAAACTCATAATCAGTTGAGAAACAATTACAAAACATGACTGTTGAGGGTTAGTAAGACAGAAGACACATTGAAGCATTCAATGAAGTTCCTGAAGAAATGAAAGAATGAATGAATGAATTTTCATCCCATGTGTGTTTAATAAAACCAGCTTCATAAAGTTCTGTTGGTAACTCGAGCCACATCCCAGTTGGCCCACAGCGTATGTTACCACTTGTTAGGCTTCTCTATTCCTTTCCTGGAGCAACATTTACTCATTCATGAGTGGACTTTCCCTTCCTAATGTCTTGCCCACACCTTCCTGCTGCAGAGACTGTGCACTATGATTGCTCTGTTTCTGGTGGCAAGAGAACTCCTGCTGCAAATCTGGTTTAAACATCCACTGAGCCCTTTCTATTCAGTCAGGAAACCAATTAAAGTGGGGAGATACAGTGAGAAGGTATCCTTTCCCTAACCCCTCCCTGTAGGCCTTGATCCTCTTTTCAAAGCATGAGGTTTCAAATGGAGCTGGCACATTCAAGAAGCAGAAATTGGCCCAAATAAAATTTATTTTTTAATATTTCCCTTAGGTACAGTTTTGCACGACTCCAGGGATATCATTAATTTGGATTACAATGTAAGCATCTCCTTGGAATTATACATCTCCTTTAAAGTTTTTGAAAGACTTCTAGCTGATTTCTTAGAATTAATTCCTACCCAGGAGCTCTGATTTTTGCTTATTTGTTTGCTTGTTTTTCCCATTCTCTGCCACTATTATACTTTCTGAGTCAGAAGTAATCCAAAAGGTGCTACTTATGTTATTTGGTTTCTGTTTCCTCATCTACAAAGTGGAATTGGATGATTACATTGACTTCACATGCTGAAATGCAGTGATGCATTTTCTGCATATTGACCTGTGGGAAATATTAGGGCTGGCATCTGGAGGACTTCCCAAAACTAGAGAATTTCAAATCTCTTTTACGACGGCCCATACTTAAGATAGACATGTTGAGAACTGGAAACCAAAGACTGACAGTCCAGATTCATCAGGGGTGGGGATGGGGTGAAGGGAAGAGACAAGCTCTGCAAAGTCTCTTTACACATCACCTGGACCTTTCTTTCCTTCCACCTCTGGCCTCAGAAGACAGAGCAGGATGAGCCAGTGACTTCAGGATTAGCAGACCAAGACTAAACTTCAAAATTTTTCATGTCAAGGTGGGACTACAGGACCTCACCCACCTTCAGCCTTCGGCTTTATCATCTTCCAGGGGAGGTCTAGACCACGGGTCTACCTACATGGCATAAATACACACAATACTCAAAATGCAAAGTATTGAAAGTTTATATTTTAGGTCTTTACTGACATGCCTCTACTCTCCATTGAACGGAAACATACTGCTTTGCATGTACTTATTGATGCCTGCACTCTGCTAGGATTTGCTGAAATCTGAGGTAACTAAAGCACCATTTTTTCTCATGGTGTGCACAGCATGGAGGCTGACACACACCAGATCATTATGGCATAGAGGAGGAAGTGGGTATGATGAGAACAGAATGGAACAAATACTGTGGGAGCACAGAGATGGGTTCTAAGGAAGAGATGTGAACTTTTAGCTCTGTATTCCAGGCACTAAGCATTACACTGGAGAAACAGTTATTGGTCAAAAATTGCTTGTTGATTTGAGTGTGAAAAAATAATAACATTATGTTTGGCTCTGTGCAGAGTAGAAAATACTGATGAAGCTTTCCCCTTTTGGAAAGTACTCTAAAACGGAGCCCTGACATCACAGTTTGGTTCTAAGTCATGTTTGAAAACCACGAAAAGCTGATGTACCAGGAGCTGCCTTTAATACGGTTTTGTCTGGCCTTTTCTTAGTCACTGTGATTATAGATTTGTTTATTTGAGGGAAGAAAGGCACCGTGAGGTCTCTGCCCGCCTACAAATGGAAAATGGAGTCCCTCAGTCAACAAGCTCACTTGATAGCTTCTGTAAATGTTTATCTTGTTAGTCCATTGTTTTGCTTTAAGAAAATACCTGAGACTTTAAGAAAATTACCTCAGGGTAATTTATAAAGAAAACAGACTTAATTGGCTCAGGCTGCAGACTGTACGAGCATGGCACCAGTGTCTTCTAGGCTTCTGGCAAGGCCTCAGGATGCTTGCAATCATGGTGGAAGGCAAAGAGAGAGCTGGCACATCACATGGTAAGAATGGGAGCAGGAGAGAGAAGGGGGGGGTCTCAGGCTCTATTAAACAAGAAGCTCTCACATGAACTAACTGAAGGAGAACTCACTCATCACCAAGGAGATAGTGCTAAGCCATTCATGAGAGATCGACCCTCATGATACAATTACCTCCCACCAATGTTGGGGATCACATTTCAACATGAGATTTGGAGGGTACAAACATCCAAAATGTATCATTATGCCCTGGCACTTCAAATTTTATGTCCTTCTCACGTTGCAAAATACAATCATCCTTTACCAATAGTCCCCCAAAGTCTTAACTCATTCCAGCAACAAGTCCAAAGTCCTAAGTCTCATCTGGGACTCATCTCCTTTCACCTATGAGCCTGTAAAATCAAAACAAGTTATTTACTTCCAGCATACAATGGTGGTACAGGCATTGGTTAAATATTCCCAATCCAAAAGAGAGAAATTGTCCAAAAGAAAGGGGCAATAAGTCCCACACAATTCTGAAATCCAGCAGGCAGACATTAAACCTTAAAGCTCCAAAATAATCGCCCCTTACTCCATGTCCTTCATTTAGGGCATATACTGGTGCAACAAGTGTGCTCCTTGGGAGCTTGGGAAGTCCACCCCTGTAGCTTTGCAGGGTGTGGTCCCTGTGACTGCTCTCATGGACTGGAGTTGAGTACCTGTGGCTTTTCCAGGCTCAGGATGCAAGCTACTGTTGGCTCTACTATTCTGGGATCTGGAGGGCAGTGGCCCCCCTTCCACAGGTCCACTAGTCAGTGGCCCAGTGGAGACTGTGTGGACACTCTGACACCACATTTCCCTTCAGCGCTGGCTTACTAGAGTCTCTCTGTTAGTGTTCTTCCCCTGCAGCAGGCTTCTGCCTAGGCACTCAGGCTTTCCAGTATATCCCCTGAAATTTAGGGGGAAGCCTGCAAGCCTCCTTCATGCTTGCTTTCTGTGTGCCTGCAGACTTAACACCACATGGAAGCTGCCAAGAGTTACAGCTGGCACACTCTAGAGTGGCAGCCCAAGCTGCACCTAGGGCCCTTTGAGCCATGGTTGTAGCTGGAGCAGTCAGGATGCAGGGAGCAGTGTCCCAAGGCTACACAGGAGAGTGGTCCCTAGGCCTGGCCCCCAAAACCATTTTTTTCTTCCTGGGCCTCTAGGCCTGTGGTGGGATGGACTACCTCAAAATACTCTGAAATGCCTTCAAGACCTTTTTTCCCATTGGCTTGGATATTAGCACTTGGCTTCTTTATAGTCATACTAATCTCTCTAGCAAGTGATTTCTCCAGAGCTTACTTGACTTCCTCCCTGGAAATGCTCTTTCCTCTTCTATCACATTGCCAGATTGTGACTTTTCCAAATGTTTATGCTCTCCTTCCCTTTTAAATATAAGTTCCTACTTTAAGTCATTTATTTGCTCCTATATCTGATTGTAGCCTGTTAGATGCAGTGAGGCCATCTCTTGCATGGTTTGCTGCTTAGAAATTTTTTATTCCAGATACACTAAGTCATCCCTTTTAAGTTCAAACTTTCATAGGTCCCTAGGACATGGACACAATGCAGCCATGCTCTTTGCTCGGGTGCAACACAAATGACCTTAATTCCAGCTCCCAATAGCTTCCTCATTTCCATCTGAGAACTCATCAGCCTGGATTTTACTGTCCATATTTCTTCACTTCACTTCAAGTTCATGTGGACTTAGTTCATTTCTTCACTTCAAGTTCATATGAACTTCACTGCCCATATTTCTATCAGCATTTTGGTCACAATTATTTAACCAGTCTCTAAGAAGTTCCAAACTTTCCCTTGTCTTCCTGTCTTCTTCTGAGTTCTCTGAACTCTTCTAACCTCTGCCCATTACCCAGTTCCAAAGCAGCTTCCACATTTTCAGGTGTCTTTACAGCAACTACCCTATACTTGGTACAAATTTCCTTTGTTAGTCCATTGCATCACGATAAAAAAATATCTGAGGCTGGGTTATTTATAAAGAAAAGTTTAATTAGGTCCCAGTTTTGCAGGCTGCACAAGCATGGGTGCCAGCTTGTTTTTGGTGAGGCCTCAGAAAGTGTGCAATCATGGCAGAAGACAAAGGAGGAGCTGGTACATCACATGGCAGGAGTGGGAATGAGAGAGAGAAGGGGGAGGGGGAGGTCCCGGACTTTTTATTTATTTATTTATTTATTTATTTATTTATTTATTTATTTATTTATTTATTTGAGATGGAGTTTCACTCTTGTTGCCCATGCTGGAGTCCAATGGCATGATCTCTGCTCACCGCAACCTCCGCTTCCCCAGTTCAAGCGATTCTCCTGCCTCAGCCTCCTAAGTAGCTGGGACTAGAGGCGTGCACCACCATGTCCAGCTAATTTTGTATTTTTAGTTGAGACCGGGTTTCACCATGTTGTCTAGGATGGTCTTGATCTCTTGACCTCGTGATCCGCCTGCCTCGGCTCCCGAAGTGCTGGGATTACAGGTGTGAACCACCGAGCCCAGTTAGGACTCTTTTAAATAACCGGATCTCGCATGATCTAACTGAGAAAGAACTCACTCATCACCAAGGAGATAGTGCTAAGCCATTCATGAAGGATCTGTCCCCATGATCCAATCCCTCCCACTAGGCCCCACCTCCAACACTGGGAATCACATTTCAACAGATTTGGAGGGGAGCCAGGTCCAAATCATATCAACTACAGGCACATTTGAGTTAGTCATATGCTTTATATTTTGGACATAAGGATTCTTCATGTTATAATGAAGTTAGTCATCTATTTTCATTGGTTCAGAATATTTAAGTTTACTTACAATCATGATAGAGTAATACAGCTTAACTAATTAATGTCTATATTTGGGCTGGAATTGCAGGTATTCATTGTTTTGATTTTGGGTGGAAATCATGCAAATTAGATGTTCTGTTTGTCAGTTTCTTTTGTTCCCTATTCTATCCCCACCTTTTGGCAGAATGCTAGGTGAAGAGTAATTGCTCAATATATTACTTGAATAGAAATTTAAAATGTTACAAATATTTTATTTTTCATTAAAAAAGTGACTGGAGGACAATTTGCTATCTGTATAACAAATTTATCTTATCTGACAATATCCTTTACAATTTTAATTATGTAGGGTGATAAAAGAAGTCCTTGGGACTGAGAGGTATGGTATTGTATTCAATTTTGGAGAAATGAGATAAAAATGGACCTGGACCTGCAAAAGCCATCTTGTGATAAGTACTAGGTGAACATCACACTGTATCACATAAATATGTAAAATCATTTTTATCAATAAAAACATAATTAAATTAAATTTAAAAATACACTAAAGTATAAAAATATAATGAAAATGCCATAAGCATCACTACTCCAAGCAGCTATTTTTTATCATTTGGATATATTTCCTGAATTCCTTTCTTTACGTACGTATTCCAGTATAGAATTGGTACCAAGCCTTATGGGCGATAGTTTTTCTTTTCAATTTAAGATTATATCTTGCTTATTTGTCAAATTTTCAGATAGTCCTTTCAAATAAAATAGTTAAATGGCACCTGATATTCAACAGAGTATTGCTTCATCTGTAATCTTATAGGACAATATTTGAATCATTTTATATTTTGTTTTTATAAGGCATGATTTTATGCATGTCTTTGTACATATGCACTTTATTTTTATAAACATATTCTCAGATGAAGAAATATATGTACTTTTAAATTATTTGATGTAAATTTCTAAATTTCTTTTAAGCAAAGTGTACCTACTTCTACTGACAGTGTAAAAACAACTTTTTTACCTTAATCATCTGTGGGAGATGACATTCTTTTAAAATATTCACTGATTTAATAGGTAAAACTACTTTTATTGTTTCCATGTGATGATGAATATGTAGTCAACAAAGTTGTTCTTATCCATCACATCTCTCAGGTATCTCTTTTCTAGGTACCCTGAAAATTGTTTCTCTTGCCTCTAGAGGGTTGCTTACCTCTGAGCCAGTTATTTACAGAGCTGACTTAGTGATAATAAGTAATAGCCTGTCAAATGTTCATTAATGTCCCCACATTAGTGGGGCAATGTAAGTGATGGGGATACACTGACCCTTTGCTCAGGGGATGTTTCCACAACATCCTTGGATAACCCTGTCCCCGATCTGTTTGGTTCTAACTCCATAAATGATGGGGTTGAGCATGGGAGGTATCAGTAGATAGAGATTAGCAAACAGGATGTGTACAACTCGGGGCACATCATGGCCAAAGCGGTAGGTGAGGAAAGAAAAAAGGGCTGGGATATAAAGAGCCAAGATGACACAGATATGGGAGGAACGTGTGCTAAAAGCTTTGAGGCGGGCTTCACCTGAGGGCAACTGAAGCACAGCTCTCAAAATCATCACGTATGACATACCAATGACAATCATATCAAAGCCAGCCACAGAGAAGGCCACAAAGAGCCCATTCCCACGACTTATGCTTGTATCAGCACACACCAACTTCAGCACAGCCATGTGCTCACAGTATGACTGGGGAATGGCTTGGTGTTGGCAGAAGGGCATCCTAGACACCATGAAGCAGAAGGGGCTCACCCACAGCAGCCCTCTCAGCATCACGATGGTCCCCAGTTTGATCACGACCGATGGGGTCAGGATGCTAGAGTGTCGGAGTGGGAAGCAGATAGCCACGTAGCAGTCCAGGGCCATAGCCATGAGCACCCCAGACTCCACAGAAGAAAAGGCATGGATGAAGAACACCTGGATGAGGCAGGCATGGTACTGAATCTCATGAGCATGAAACCAGAATATGGCCAACATCTTAGGTTGAGTGGAGGAGGAGAGGACCAGGTCAGTGATGGCCAGCATGGCCAGAAAGAGGTACATGGGCTCATGCAGGGTGTGGTCAATTCTGATTACATGGAGGAGAGTGATATTTCCAACAACAGCCACAGCATACGTGGCACAGAACGGAAAGGCAATCCACAACTGGAAACTCTCCAGGCCTGGGATTCCAAGCAGGATGAAGGACACAGGATGAGAAGAGCTGTTCCCTGAAGCCAGCACCATGGACTGGTTAATATGGTCTCTGCTGGGAACGCAATCTACTCTCTGCAGATGATAACAATCAAAACAAGTGTTATTATTATATACAAGGCTTTTGGATGGGACTATTGGATACCAGGGTGATTGGGTTTGATTATAAACTAGAATAATTTCAACTGTTTTAATAAATAATATGTTACAACATGACATGATGTTACTGTTGTTTTTCGTACTTATGTCATTCAAAATGGGGTAGAACATACTAGTTGCATGTGTAACTGTTTTTTAAGAATCAATATTTTTCTTGACCAGGTGTGGTGGCTTACACCTATAATCCTAGCACTTTGGGAGGCTGAGGCAGGCAGATTGCTTGAGGTCAGGAGTTCAAGACCAGCCTGGCTGACATAGTGGAACCCCTTTTCTATTAAAAATACAAAAACAAAACAAAACAAAAAAAAACCCCATTAGCCAGGCATGGTAGAGCACGCCTATAGTCCCAGCTACTCAGGAGGCTGAGGAAGGAAAATCACTTGAACCCAGGAGTTGGACGTTGCAGTGAGCTGAGCTCACACCACTGCACTCCAGCCTGGGTGTCAGAGCGAAACCGCCTCAAAAAAAAAAAAAAAAAATGAATCAATATTTTTCTTGAAAGTAGCATCTGCTAAGGGAAAATCATCATGACAAGTAATATTATAGTAATTCTTGCTCTTCAGTTCTATAGAACTAACAGCTGATTAGCTTAAACTTTTCCACAGGTCCTTTTTAAACCTCTGGTTAGCCACTTGGCCAATTTCTCAGAGTAGGAAGTCAGTAGAGTTTGCAAGCCTATAGCAATTTATGTATTGCTTTGAAGTTAGCTTTGAATCTAGGTCAGTTACCACAAGGGCTTGGGTGGGAAGTTAATCTACTGACCAATTGTACATTTATAATTTAATTTATTATCTTTAGTGTAGGTTTCTCCTAGACAAGAAGTTAGCAAACTTTTTTTCTTTAAAAAGTGAGATCACAAAATTTTGAGAAATTGTGGCCTATACTGTCTGTTGCAGCAGATCAATTCAGCCATTGTAGTGTGAAAGTAACCATAGTCAACACATAAATGTGTGAGTGTGGTGTGTTCCAATAAACCTTTGTTTACAAAAATGGGTTGCAAGCAGGTGTTGGTTTCCAGGCTATAGTTTGCCAACCTCTGTCCTAGAAGAGGAATTTTTCATGAAGTCAGCTGTGAACCCCACACTATCTCTAGCATCTCTGTGCTTGGTGCAGAGTAGGAATTTAATAAAATATTCCTGAGGAAAGTAGCAAATAAATGTCATTATTCAAAGGCAGCAGACTCATTAACTGATTAACAATATTCTAAATACCCAGACAGAGCCCTATTGACTACCTTGAGGCCATAGAGGTTGCCCTGCTACAGTAGATACTGTGTGAGCCCCACTGTCTGTCTCTATTCATCTTACCTGAGTTTATTCCACTCTTTGAGTTTTTTGGTGATCACTATCAATCTCAGAATCGATGGCACAAAGCTCATTTTGTTCTTACCCAACACTTTTTCACTAAACTCAGTTGCCTGTGCTTTGTTTGAAAGCCTCAGTTCTTACCACCTTCAAAAGAGAAACACCTGGGCAAGAAAAGTATGCATTTAAATACCCATCACCTCTTGGAACTAATACATGTCTCATTCACTAGAAAAAAAAAAATCCTGAAAAGAATTTCTTCAAGATCCCCCAAAGGCCTTATCTTTTCCTAAATTTCTCTTACATTTGCTGAGGAGTGCTTTAATTCCAACTATGTGGTCGATTTTGGAATAAGTGCGATGTGGTGCTGAGAAGAGTGTATATTCTGTTGATTTGCGGTGGAGAGTTCTGTAGATGTCTGTTAGGTCCGCTTGGTGCAGAGCTGAGTTCAATTCCTGGGTATCCTTGTTAACTTTCTGTCTCGTTGGTCTGTCTAATGTTGACAGTGGGGTGTTAAAGTCTCCCGTTATTATTGTGTGGGAGTCTAAGTCTCTTTGTAGGTCTCTACGGACTTGCTTTATGAATCTGGGTGCTCCTGTATTGGGTGCATATATATTTAGGATAGTTAGCTCTTCTTGTTGAATTGATCCCTTTACCATTATGTAATGGGCTTCTTTGTCTCTTTTGATCTTTGTTGGTTTAAAGTCTGTTTTATCAGAGACTAGGATTGCAATCTCTGCCTTTTTTGGTTTTCCATTTGCTTGGTAAATCTTCCTCCATCCCTTTATTTTGAGCCTATGTGTGTCTCTGCACGTGAGATGGGTCTCCTGAATACAGCACACTGATAAATCTCTCAAGATTTATAACAGACTGGGAGAAATAGGGCTCAGACTTTATAAGTCTAGATTTAAACTGGAATCTTGACCATCCTGCCAGAGAATAAGATATAGGTTTGCTCAAAACAAATACTTGTATGTAGAGTATGGTAAAAATTCAAAACCACCTATATCCGGGGTCCACCTATATCTCTGTCCCCCTTTGCCTGTCCCAGACTTTCCAAGCTGTTTTGTATATTCTGTTTGAGCCGAAGTCTTTCTGTCACTTGCCCCTGTATATCACCCTCAAATTGTCGTGGGGACAGTCCCCCAGCTTCAGGGGTACCTTGAAATGCATACCCAGACCATCCTCATTGCTGTACGAGGCAATATAAGGGGTGCTGGCCAAATCCCGGAACTTAAAGTAAAATTTAAAAAATAAATAAATAAATAATTGTTATTTTTGGAGACTTAGCACTATAGACTTAAACAATTTTTTTTAATAAACTTACGTGTGCATGTGTCTTTAGAGTAGCATGATTTATAAACCTTTGGGTAAATACCCAGTAATGGGATCGCTGGGTCAAATGGTATTTCTAGTTCTAGATCCTTAAGGAATTGTCACACTGCCTTCCATAATGGTTGAACTAATTTACACTCCCACCAACAGTGTAAAAGCATTCCTATTTCTCCACATCCTCTCCAGCATCTATTCATGATAGCAAAGACTTGGAACCAACCCAAATGTCCATTAATGATAGACTGGATTAAGAAAATGTGGCACATATACCCCATGGAATACTATGCAGGCATAAAAAAGGATGAATTCATGTCCTTTGCAGGGACATGGATGAAGCTGGAAACCATCATTCTAAGCAAACTGTCACAAGGACAGAAAACCAAACACCGCATGTTCTTACTCATAGGTGGGAGTTGAACAACGAGAACACATGGATACAGGGTGGGGAACATCACACACTGGGGGCCTGTCTGGGGGTGGGGGGTTGGGGGAGGGATAGCATTAGGAGAAATACCTAATGTAAATGATGAGTTGATGGGTTCAGCAAACCAACGTGGCACATGTATACATATGTAACAAACCTGCACATTGTGCACTTGTACCCTAGAACTTAAAGTATAATTTTTAAAAAATGATAAAAAATTTGTTTATTTGCTTGTTCTTTTTCTTTTATTTTTGAGACATGCTTTCACTCTGTTGTCCAGGCTGGAGTGCAATGGTGTGATCACAGCTCACTCTAGCCTTGAACTTCTGGGTTTAGGTGATCCTCCCACCTCAGCCTTCTGGGTAGCTGGAACTACAGATACGCACCACAACGCCCAGCAAATTTTTTGTATTTTTAATAGAGACAGGGTCTCACTATGTTACCCAAGCGTGTCTCAAACTCTTGGGCTCAAGTGACCAGCCAGCCTTGGCCTCCCGAAGTGCTGGAATTAAAGACATATGCCACTATGCCCAGCCCAAATTTTATTGTTTCTAACTCACACAAAACCTCTGCATCCTCCTATAACAATGAGAAAACAGAGTTCAGACTAGTTATGTGATCTGCACAAGATCACACAGCAACTAAGTATCGAGGTGCATGACTTTGCAGCCAGTGCTCTTGGTGGTACCCATGCTGCCTGTGCTAGATAACAATTCAGACTCCTGCCCAGGTTGGGGAAAGCAGAGTTTGCTGTCCTATCATGACAAAGGCAAACATGAAGGGGGTGTGCACAACTGCATGCTGAATTAGAGGAAGATCTGAACTTGGACCCAGGATCCCTGCTACTTCACTGGACTGGAGCCTCTAGCACAGTCTCCAGCTTGGCCTCCTGGTACTCTGGGTGTGTGCTGATTTCTCGGGGAGGACATCTTTAATGTATTCTGCCCATGAGCCTTAATGGAGAACTCTCCTGTTCTGCACCCTCCTTAGGAAGTGATGAGTTTCTCCTCAGCCATGTTTCAGCTACCTGTATTCTATAGCCCCTTTACAAACCAGTTTCTGTCTTCCCATTCACTCATACTTCTGACTCCCCAGTAGGCTTTTCACAGGGCAGAGCTTCCCCATGAAGTTATGTCTCTCAGCCTTCCTCATTCCATTCTGCTTGCTCTGCTTTTCTGCTCTCAGATTTTCTTTTTTTTTTTTTGGTGGACAATGGAGGAGCAGGGCTGCCCTGGTATCCAAGACTGAATTGAGAGATGGGGACTGTTGACAGGTGCCTCCCTTTCTTCTCTCCATTTTCCTCTGCTGACCTACGGAATCTAGTGCCGTCACTGTCAGTGATTCCCTTATCTTCCTTTTCTCACAGACTTATGAACATAACACAGGCAGACTTAATGCTTCAAGGCATGTGGAGTGGACATGGAATTAACCAATACTTAGCCATTTTTGTCCAGCATGTGAGGTTTTCAACATAGGAAGCACAGGTTGTCAGCTTGCTGCTGTGTTGAGAAATGGAATGTACATTCTCTAAAAGGTAGGAAAAGAAAGAACCATATAATTTCTCTTCTTCCCTAGTACTTCTTTCTCCCCAACACTGCTTTTAAATCTGTTCCCCTCCACAGGCTAGAATTCTTATGAACATAGTACATACTGAAAGTTGACATGAAATCATGTCATTTTCAAACACTATAACTAAGGACATAACACGTTTAACGTCAGATTTAATTTTTCTGTTTCCCAAAATAAAATCAACTTGTAAAACCTCCATGTAGGGTTTTGTTATATAAATGTGGTTACAAGAACTGTATTATCACACTGAGTGGAGCTCAGTTTTCACCTGTCAGACTGGGTTTGATTCCAACTATAACACCCACTGGCTCTGTTGGATTTCAATGATCTCACCCATTATGTGAGAATAGTTAAGTTCATCAGTCAGCTGTGTTGCTCAAGCCAGTGAGGGAATAGAAGATAAAATCAACTGAGAGATTTTGCTAAGGAATAGCTTCTAGGAAGCTGTTTTTTCACTTTGAGGTATCTGAAAATAAGGCATAGAGCAATAATGCTGGAGCAGTGTGGGGTTCAGAGCCACCTCTTATGGAAATGTTGTGTGTGGAGGCAGTATTCCTACCTTTCTCAGGTCTCCCTGGAGGACACAGTGGAAGCACTGAGTCTTCTCCCATTCTTAGAATGAAGATCAGTAGTCTTGGATCTGTAGACCTGAAGCTCCCATTGAGTTAGGCCATTGCATTGGCCTTCCTGCTTCTGGGAGCTCTATGACTCCTAATGCTTTCTGTGATGGGCAGAGGTGCCTGAAGTACAGATGATCACTCACCCAGACCTCTACTCTGTCTTTAACCAAGCATGGCATGGCCAGAAGGAGTTCTGAAATTCAGCCTTTGGCAGAGACCTCAGATCAAGGCATATTTAAAGGGTTATGTCTGGACGTTTCCGACCTTTAAGTATTAGTTTTCTCACTCCCCTGATTTCCAGTGCCTCACATGCACACTGGCTTCCTTCTGAGACTGGAGACTAGAGCTTGAAGCATTAACCCATCCCTTTCCTCTCTCCTCTGTATACAGAAGTAGGAAGGCAGGGGATTTGAATGCTTGTGCAAAAAAGGTGTGTTGTTGAGATTGTATGAATGTGATTTTATCTGTATGCATGTATTTTTTTTTTTAGTCGGAGTACATATATTTATAATTCAGGGGATATTTTGTACAATATGAAACTGCTGATATGTAAGTCGAGTCGATGTGTGTATCTGAGAGATATGTTAATAAACACATGTATAAGGCACTGAATTTGCATATAAGAGGAGTATTTGTGTGAATAAGCGTAAGTGTATATCAAATTATGAATCATAATTTGCTTTAAGTATGTATCATTAGTGTGCTACCATCATGCTATGAGTTCAAGGTTATTGAATACACACATTCTGTGAAGGCACATGCCTAGCTACATACCTGGCAGTGTGAGTTTGCACATAGAGTGTGTACATGAGTATGTATATACAAGGAGTGTGGGGTTAATGAGGATGTTGAGCATCGATTAGAGTATCAGTGTTTACTAAGGTAGCTGTGGTTGTGAGACCCCTCACCTCTGAGTGCGTGATTATCCAGATAGGTGAAAAGAATTCCAAAGAAGACCATGCCATAGTCAGTTCTGAAACTTTGTTAGGCCGGAAGGCCCTCTTCACTCAATCTGAACAGTGAAGGCCTACACAGAGCTTCCTCTGTTTCAGTACCGAATCCAGATTTTTAAATCTAATGTTTTTAATCTAAACACTGAGGAAGATTTGAGAAAGGAAAACATATAAGCATGCAAAGAACGATTTGTTTGCGAGGAGTGCAATCTGTCAGACTAGAACAAAATACAAAGTGCAACATACATTTACATGGATACAATTACCAAGGTTATCAGGTTTACATCAATATGTATATGATAGATGGTAATGATCAAGGTCACAAAGGTCATCATTTTTCATCTATCAGCCTACAAAATCAGAAGTACCATTTTCTGTTGTAGAGAGTCCAGGTATACAGGAAATATTCAAAATATTATTTTGGAGATCAGGCTGACATTGTACATTGGAATTTCTGGCTTCAAATTATTTTTCTTTTTCTTTTAATGTTTCCTTTCAACTTTTATTTTAGATTCAGGGAGTACCTATGCCAGTTTGTTACAGGGCAAATTGCATGTCACAGGGGTTTGGTGTACCGATTATTTTATCACCTAGTTGTTAAGTACAGTACTCAATAGGTAGTTTTTTATCCTCACCTTCAATCCAACCTCCACGCTCAAGTAGGTCCCAGTGTCTGTTGTTCCCTTCTTTGTGTCCATGTGTACACAATGTTTAGCTTTCACTTGTAAATGAGAACATGTGGTATTTGGTTTTCTGTTCCTGCTTTAAGTTAATTTGCTTAGGATAATGGCCTCTCATTCCATCCATGTTGCTGCAAAATACATGATTTCATTCTTTGCAAATCATTTTTCTTTATTTCTTTTTGTTGTTTATTTCCTTTATCTTCGGTATGTGACGTTCTTAGTATATTGGAAGCAGAATAAAATTCAGGTCCCTCTGCCTTCTTTTTCTTCCTGCTTTTTTAGGGGCACTTTTCTCTTTCAACAGAATATGACATCCAGGATAGGACCTGTGGTGTTTCATTTCTGACTCTTCCACAGTCCCAAATGCCACTTGACTCTAAGCAGGCATGACCCGGGCTCTTGTGGAAAGCATTTATCAGACTACCCACACTACTTTTTAAGTTTAGTAGGGGATTTCAAGGTGAAAGGAGTATATAGTAGAAATGTCAGAATTTTTCTGATTGATCTTCCCAGAGGCCCCTCATCATTTGAGTCTTTCCAAAACTGGTACCTCTCCAGGATGCACTGAGGACTCTAAATGTGGCTCACAGCTGTTTGTCGAAGCCCAGTTTCCACTGGAATGTACCAAGATTTCTGGGCAGTTTTGAGAGCCCAATAAAGGTTGGTTACGATAAACTTATAGTCACGCCAATCTGCAATTGCAGGGTTACAAAGGCAGGGCAGAAAGGATGTTTAGAAAGAAACTTTTGTTGGAAAAAAAGGTTTTTGGGGATATTGACATGAGAATTCTGAGACAATTCAGCATATCTATGTAGAAATATGTTGGTGTGTGTATATATATATGTATATGTATATGTGTAATATATGTGTATATGTAGTATATAATATGTAACATAAATATTACATAGACATATATAATGCATTTGTACTATATAAAGAGATAGACATGTGAAACTGAAGAAAATGACTGAGGCAAGTCTCGATCCATTTAGAGGTTTATGTTGCCAAGGTTGAGGTGACATGCCTAGGGAAGACAGACAGCCACAGTAGAACGCGTGGCCTGTACTTTTTCTGAAGAGGATTTTGAGGGCTTCAATGATTCAAGGGGAAAAGTAGGCAGAAAGGAGAAGGGGAAAGAAAAAAAGAGGTAGGATATGATCACATTCTTGTGAGGCTTTGATTAGGCTACCGAATCCAGTATGTTGCAGGTGCAAAGGGTTGGATAGAGGGAACAATCTATGTATTTATTTCACACTCATTAAATCGCACTTGACATAAGATACGCATAGAGTAGAGGAAGCAGTCAAATAAGTATTTGTTTCAGGGTGGATGGGGGGATGATTTCTAGTTTCCTCTTAACATGGACCTGTGAAGACAGGCTGTTAATTTACATTGTCAGGGTGAGGGAGGCCTTCTGTGGAGACATATAGCCTTCTTTCTGTAACTATGTTTAGAAACAAAAGGAAAGGCAGATGTGTGTGTGTGTAATTTAGCTTCTGGGCTTAACTTTTTCCTTTTGGCATAGTAAATTTGGCATCCTGAGATTTTCTTTTTTTTTTCCACAGATATTTTATGTATATATTTATATGTATGTATATGTGCGAGTGTGTGTGTGTGTATGTATATATATATATATATGGGAGTCCTGGAAAATGAATATACCAATAAGTACATTTTAATCCATTGTTCAAACTTCGCTATCTGGGTTCAAGAGATTCTCCTGCCTCAGCCTCCCAAGTAGCTGGGATTACAGGTGCCTGCCACCATGTTAATCTATTATTTTATGTCATCATTTATAAATAGTTATACGTTGTATGCACCAGTGGACTTTTAAATAGTTTTAATGAAATTGTTTATCTAGACACTTACCCTAAAGATGGCCTTGTATTTATGGAAAAATAGATCAATACATTATTGAAAAATTGATAAAGAAACCGGAAATAGCTTTAAATGTATCAGTAATTGATTTTCCTTTTTTCCTTTCTTTCTATTTATTTATTTATTTATTTTTTAGAGATGGGGTCTTGCTATGTTGCCCAGCTGGGCTGCTCTCAAACTCCTGGGCTCAAGCTATCCACCGCCTTGGCTTCCCAAAGTGCTAGGATTACAGGCAGGAGCCACCACACACTGCCAGTAATCAATTTTCAATAGATGAATCAATTCTATTCAGTGACAGAACAATGTTTTTATGGTGCTAGAACAATTAGAAATCAGTATGAAAAAAACAAAGTGAAACTCACCTTCTACCTCAAAGTAAAATATCTTTATTTGAGGTATAAAATAAACCTAAATTTGAAAGCTAAAGCTATAGAGCTTCTTTAAAAAGTACAGTAATATTTTTATGAACTCAGGGAAAGCAGATTTCTTATACAGGACACAAAAGTCATTAGCCACAATATAAAAGAAGATCAACAATTGATCTTCATTAAAATAAAAAAAAATCTCCTTCAAAAGAGACCAATACAAAAGTGAAAAGTCAAGTCACAGAGAAAACATTCACAATGCATATATCTGACAAAGAGAGCCCCGTAATCCATAAAAAGGAAAACCAACTCATGAAAAATACAAGCAAAGGGTTTAAACAGGCCGTGTACAGCAAGAGGTAGACAAAGGGTCAATGCGCATATGAAAAGGTTTATTATTATTATTCAACATTATTATTCATTAGGTAAATGAAAGTTTAAACTGTAACAATTTAACAATATAAACTAATTAGAAAAGCTAAAATTAAGTGCACTGACAACACTAAGTATTGGTAAAAATGAGGAGCAATTGGAGCACTCATAAGTTGAATCTCTTGCAATTTCTAGTAAAACTAGACCTCCTTTTGAGCGAGCAATTTCACTTTTAGTTGCATACTCCAAATAAATGGTTTATACATCCACCAAAAACGTCTAAAGATGCTTATAGCAGCTGTATTCATAATACCTAAAATGTGGAAACAACCCAAATATCTGTCAATCAAAGATTAAACAAAATTGGCCTCACTTAAGCAATAGAATACTACTCATCAAGAATAAAAAAGAATGAAGAACTGAAAAAAAGTAAATATAGAATAGTAGTGTGGAAGTATGAAGCGCTTCATAAAGAGTAGATAAAGAGCAGAATCTAATGCTTTAATATAATTTGGAGAAAGATGACCTACAAAAAGAGCCCAGTAAAAATCGTTTCGGTCTACACAGACTTAACAGTGAATTGGTGAGATTTTCAAACAGTTTCTACAAACCAGGTTGTGTTCCAAGGGTTATTATGCTCTAAGTAGTTTTTTTCTGAGCATTTTAAAGGGTTAATCTAATACAGTGGATAAAACTACTGGCTCTGTAGCCAGCAAGGAGAGCTAGTAATCTCATCCACCGTATTAATAAACCAACCCTTAATAATGTTCTCTAAACATTAATAAAAATGTTTAGAGAAAATTAGAGCATAGTAATTCTGCATATAGTTGTGAACCAAAAGTATCTGAGACAGGTCTCAATCAATTTAGAAAATTTATTTTGCCAAGGTTAAGAACGCACCCGTGGCACAGCTTCAGGAGGTCCTGACGACTTGTGCCCAACAGAGTCAGGGTACAGCTTGCTTTTATACATTTTAGGAAGGCATGAGACATCAATCAATAAGTTTAAGATATACATTTTTTTCAGTCTGGAAAGGCAGGACAACTCAAAGCAGGAGCTTCCAGGTAATAGGAAGATAAGAGACAAAAGTTGCATTCTTTTGATCAACCTTTCACTAAATACACAATTTACACGTGAGGGGGTGGGTAGAGAAGTAGTCACTTATGCCTTAGTCTGGCTCAGTGACTGCGTTTTTACATAAACAGTAGGGCAGAGGAAGCAATCAGATGTGCATTTGTCTCAGGTGAGCAAAGGGATGGCTTCCAGTTCTGTTCTTTTTTCCACACCTGTGAAGATAAGCTATCAATTTTCATTGCCAGGGTGAAATTCGGCATCACTGTTTTAGGGTAAAGATCTTGAGGCCCACGAAGAATTTCCTTGTGGGCAAATTGAGAGGCAGGTATGTAGCTTTTTATACTTAGTAGCTAACTTTTATAGGAATAAAATGGGAGGCAGGTTTACCTGACACAGTTCCCAGCTTGACTTTTTCTTTTGGCTTAGTGATTTTGGAGTCTTTAGATTTATTTATTTTTCATATAGTCAGCACAGCAATGAAGTATAACAAAAAAAAAAAGAAAGAAATTTTAGACAGGGAACACAGCAAATTTATCATTTATGTACTTTTTTTGGAATGAAAAATCCTGGAATATATGCTTCAGCAAGTGAAATTGGTATACAGTAAAGTTCAACAAATGATAACCAAGTATGAATTAAAACTACTTATGGATGCTATGTAAAATAATCCCAGGAATACAACAATCCGACATGCCTCAAGAAATGCAGAACATATTAGAACGTTGCACAAAATATGGCCTCAGACAGGAGTGATGTCAGAAATTTAGAATTCAGGCTCCATTTCAGTCCTAATGAGTCAGAATTTTCATTTTAACAAGATCTTGAGGATATTTACGTGTTCACTCAATTTTACAAGCATTTAATTTTCCTTATCAACAAATAACTATAATTTGAGATCTTTCTACTCTTTTTGATGTAGGCATTTATTGCTATAAACGTCCCTCCCATACCGCTTTTGCTGTCCCATAGGTATTTGTATATTGTACTTCCATTTTCATTTGTCTAAATAAATTGTTTAATTTCTCTGTTGATTTTTTATCAACCTGTTGGTTGTTCAGGAAGATGTTGTTTAATTTCCATGTGTTTGTATTTTCCACGGTTTCTTTATATTGATTTCTAGTTTTGTACTATTGTTTTCAGAAATAATACTTGATACGATTTTGATCTTCTCAAATTAGTTAAGACTCGTTCTGTGGCCTAACAGATGATCTATCCTGGAGAATGTTTCATATGCAATCTAGAAGAATATGTATTCTGTAGCTGCTGGATGAAATGTCCGTCAGGTCCATTTGGTGTAGAGCGTAATTTAAATCCAAGGTTTCTTTATTGGTTTTCTGTCTGGGTGATTTGTTCATTGCTGAAAGTAGGATGTTGAAGTCCTCTACTATTATTGTTGCAGTACCTCTCTTTAAGTCATTTGTGAGATAATTAAAAAAAAAAGCTTTTCTTTATCCTGCTATCAGACAAAACGAAAGATAATTTAAATTCCAGAGACAACATAAAAGTTCTTCCAGAAAACTATGGTCCAAAACAAAAAAAAATTGATATGATTATGGGCAACTGAATTAGTATGAAAGGAAATAATTGATTTTCTTTTGATGAATGGGTGCCTTCTTTTTTTTTTTTTTTTTTTTTTTTGAAATAGAGTCTCGCTCTATTGCCCAGGCTGGAACTCAGTGGCGGGATCTCGGCTCACTGCAAGCTCCGCCTCATGGGTTCACGCCGTTCTCCTGCCTCAGCCTCCCGAGTAGCTGGGACTACAGGCGCCCGCCACCACGCCCGGCTAATTTTTTTTTTTTAATATTTTTAGTAGAAACGTGGTTTCACCATGTTAGCCAGGATGTTCTCGATTTCCTGACCTCGTGATCCACCCGCCTCGGCCTCCCAAAGTGGGGTGCCTTCTTTTGTAGTGGCACGTTTAGTGACATAGGTTGATGTGTCATTATTTTTCTAATCATACCATATATTCTGTATCCCGTGTTGAATAATTATTTAATTATATTTTAATAATTTTTTTGTTGCTTTTGAAGTTCGAATAACCTAAACAAATATAAAATCATAGCTATAAGATTGTATGTACATTTTTATATATGGCCTAGGAAAGTATTATACTATGGGGACTAAATTTGGGAAAGGAGAGGGAAGAGAAGAAGGGAAGTGTAAGGGCATTTGTTCCTTGCACTCTGCATAGCAGGAAGTAGAATCTAAAGTTAATGGAGGTTGGGCATGGTGATTTATGCCTGTAATCCCAGCACTTTGGGAGGCAAAGGCTGGAGGATATCTTGAGCCTAGAAGTTTGAGACCAGCCTGGACAATGTAATGGGGCCCCTTCTCTGCAAAATAAATAAATACATAAAGGTAGGTGTGGTGGTATGCACCTGTAGTCCAAGTTGCTAGGGATGCTGAGGTGGAAGGATTGCTTGGGCCTGGGAGGTCAAGGCTGCAGTGAGCCATGATTCTGCCATTGCACTCCATTCTGGGCAACAGAGTGAGACTGCATCTTAAAAAAGCAAACAAACAAACAAAAATCTACAAAACTTTTTCATATTTTGGGGGAAAAATGGAAAAAATAACATTTATATTCATTTAAAATATTATAAAGATAATGCAATAATTAAAAGGAAGCTGTAAACATATTTGGATCTGCTTCAGTCTAGTGTGAGGAATCTCCTGGGAATTTCTAGTCATTACACCTTGGGTCAAGTCCCAAGGGTCTCTTGGCAACAGGGTTGGGTTATATGCAGGGCTTCTTAGAGAAGGCCAGGTCCAAGAGCCATCTACAAATACACTTGGCTGGAGAGTGAGTAGAAAGGGCACCTCTTCCTCTGTTGGGAGCCAGGTAAGGTATGAGAGCATGAGAAAGAGCAGACCAAGAAGGCAGAGACTGTTGAGGTCTAAACTGGGGGACAAGAGAGAGCAGAAAGGGAGGAATGGGAAGTGGAGAGGCAAGTGCTCAGAGGCAAAGGACTGCAAATCAGGGGTAGAAATACTGGGAAGCAGGGCTCAGAGTGACAGGCTTAGACTAAAGGGTGTAGGAATTAGTGATATATCAGCAAGTAGTTTGCTAACAAATATTTCTTCTGGGCTAGATAAGTTTGAAAAGAAGGAAATAGTCTCTTTTCTTTAACATTGGTAGAACTCAAAAATCAAAACAGTTACTCTTGTTTGCTTTATTGGTAAATATTTTTTCCATCATTACCATTTCTTCTATGCTAGATTTTATTTCTTCAGCTAGTTTGGTGATCGATATTTTCTTATAAAATCATCTATTTTATGTACGTCATCAAACATATTATCATAATTGTGCTTACTAGTCATTATATTTAAAGTTATAGTTCTCTAATCATAGGTTTGTTATTATTTTCATTTTTCATCGTTTTTGTAAAATTTTCTTGACTGTCTTTGAAAAAAAGATTCATTATATTCTTTTTAAATAACTTTGGTTTTATTTTTAACTCATTCATTTGTGCCTTTCATCTTTGTTAATTGCTTCTTTCGATATTTATTTAATTATAATCCCAGCTTCTTAAACTGAGAACTTAGAAGCTTAATATTGTCCATCATTTTTTCCTATATTCTTCAAGCTGTAAGTTGTTTTGGATGTCATCTTGCCTCACAGTTTCTGCTATGTGGTATTGTCATTGTTATTCAGCTTAAAAGACTGTTTTTCTCGTTTATGTGTTTCCGGAATAGAGAAGGTACTTAATAAATGGATGTTGTTATTGCTTTGGAGTCTTTCATTTTATATTATTATATTAATGTGACTATATTAATAAAATACAGTATTAGACTAATTCAATAGTCCAGGTTAGAGAGTGAATACATTTGGAAAAGAGTATTTTGTACTCAGATAAAGACAAGCTGGAAGAATAAAGACAGATATTAGAGGTTGAATAGAAAAGATTGGAAGAGGTGTTGGTTAAAAAATAAGAGAATACAGGATAACTCCTAGATTTCTGATTTAGAAAATTGGGTCATTTTTATGAAAGTTATAGCCTTTATACAGAAAATGGTATAGGAGGAAAAACAGTTATAAGAGAAAATAATCAATTTGGTTTTGAACATAGGAGGTTTTCTTATTTACCCATGAAAAATCTAGATGGAAATGTCCAGAATAAAGTTTTATCTTCAGACATGGAACCTAAACACCAAAACTGGTTTTCAGAAATTCACTTGAAATTTATTATTGTATAGGTGAAATATGAGGCTGTGAAAATGGGGGAGATAATTTTACAAGTGACTTGAGAATAGGCAAAGGAGAGATCTCTGAAGAATGCCAAATATAAGGTTGGAAAACATAAGGTACCCGGGAGAGGGGGGAAAGAAACAAGAAAACTGAAACAGTCAGAGAAAGAGCTGATTAATGGGAGAATATTAAGAGAGACTGGTATCATAAAATAATGAGGGAGAGAAAATTTCCAGAATCATCAACAAAATATGTATTGTTGAAAGAATGAGATGGTCACTGAAATGAGTCGACTGATTTTTTTTTTTTTTTTTTTTTTTTTTTTTTGAGACAGTGTTTCTCTCTGTCACTCAGGCTGGAGTACAGTGACACATTCATGACTCACTGCAATCTTGACTTCTGAGCTCAAGAAATTCTCCTACTTCAGCTTACCCAGTAGTTGGGACCTACAGACATGTACCACCATGCCTGGCTAATTTGTAAACGTTTTTGTAGAGATGGGGTTTCCCTATGTTACCCATGCTGGTCTTGAACTCCTGGGCTCAAGTGATCCTCCCGCCTCGACCTCCCAAAGTGTTGGGATAACAGGCATGAACCCTGTGCCTGGCCTCAACTGAATTTGATGGTTCCATTTTGGTGTTATTTTCCATAGTGGATATAGCCTGGATACCTGATTTTCTTGGCCCTTTGCATACAGGAACTATCGATATTAAGACTACTTTCCAGAGAAGCCTAAAGAGCTTCATATCTCCACAGTTCACATGGAATTAACATTTGACACATCAAACTCCCCTCCAAAGATACCACACGGACCATAGTATGTCTCTTTAAAATCATACACCTGGAGCCTTTGTCAGACTGGTTTAGAAATTCCTTTTATGCATTCCTCAGCTTTACTGAGTGAAGGCATTGAGGTTAGATATGCAGGTTTCATCCTCATTTCTTCTACTGCCTAACTGCATAATTTGGGGCAAATTACTTAATGTAAATATCAGTTTCTTCATATGTATATTAGGGATAAGAAATTTATTTTCTTTGTTGAATAATAATGATTGGATCATATTATGGATATGAAGATAATTGTGTCTGGCATATGGCACATGTTCAAGAAATGCTGGCTATTGTGTTTTTTTTATTTTGATACTAGTCTGTGGTATTATTTATCATAGTGTAGTGCTTAATTTATTGTAGTAAAATTATGGTAAGGTTTGCTTTTTTCCTCCATTCCTTCCCTTTCTTCCTTCCCTTCTTTCTCACTCCCTCCCTTCTTCCTCTTATTCCTCCTCCTCCTCTTGCACTTTCCTCCTCTTCCCCTTTGTGCTCTTACCTGCCTCCACCTTCACTAGTCTTTCTCTTTCTCCTCCTTCTTCTCCTCCTCCTCTGTCATCGTTGTCTCTCTCCTTTCTCCAACTTTCTTACTTTTGTGGTTTCTCTCAACATTTAGGCAGTGCTTTATAAAGATAACATTGGGTGATTAATTGCTGAGTCTTAGCTTGCTCATCTGCAAAATTCGTGTACGATCTATCTCCAAGAGTTGGTGTATGGATGAAATTATATAATGCATATAAAATGTCAACAACACAGGGAACTCCCAACAAATGCGATCAATATTTATTTTTCTTAGGGTGTTTTTTTGGGCCACCCTATTACCACATATATGGGCCTGTGTGTCCCAGGGATTTTTTGGCATTCTTCTGGATATTTTCCAAGGAAATATAATAATATTCACATTTCAGATATGACTTAGTTTGCTCAGTGTTTTATTCCAGAATCAAAATTTATTTTCAACAAGTACTGGAAAGCAGGTTTCTCATAATATTGTTTAGGAATTTTACTGGGGATTTATATTGGCAGACGTGACTTAATTGTAATGTTTATTGCTAGTAATGAGAATTATAGGCTTAATATACTTAAGAAAATTTGATGTGGCACAGTTCAGGGAATTCACTTTTCTCAATAAATGTGAAACACTGACAGACTTGGAGAGAAATGTGTAGCTCTGGGAAGCTAAAAAGAAAATTCAAGTTCTTTGAAAATTAGAAATAATAACTCAGTGAATCTTGAAGTGCCAGAGAGATGTTACAAGTGATAAACTATGTATTATGTGTTATGTTAAATGACTGAAACATCCCTGTCTTCTCAGTGCTTCCCTATGTCGGTCCTCAATAATACCATTGCTGAGCCTCTGATCTTCCTCCTGATGGGCATTCCAGGCCTGAAAGCCACCCAGTACTGGATCTCCATCCCTTTTTGTCTCCTATATGTTGTTGCCGTCTCTGGAAATAGCATGATCCTGTTTGTGGTCCTCTGTGAACGGAGCCTCCATAAGCCTATGTACTATTTCCTCTCTATGCTTTCAGCCACAGACCTGAGCTTGTCCCTGTGTACACTTTCTACTACCCTTGGTGTCTTCTGGTTTGAAGCCCGAGAAATCAACCTAAATGCCTGCATTGCCCAGATGTTCTTTCTACACGGATTTACTTTCATGGAGTCTGGGGTTCTACTGGCCATGGCCTTTGATCGTTTTGTGGCCATCTGTTACCCACTGAGATACACTACCATCCTTACCAATGCCCGAATTGCCAAGATTGGGATGAGCATGTTGATAAGAAATGTTGCCGTCATGTTGCCAGTCATGCTCTTTGTCAAGAGGTTGTCCTTCTGCAGTTCTATGGTCCTTTCACATTCTTACTGCTACCATGTTGATCTCATCCAACTCTCCTGCACAGACAATAGGATCAACAGCATCCTTGGTCTGTTTGCGCTTTTGTCCACTACAGGGTTTGACTGCCCTTGCATCCTGCTCTCCTATATCCTGATCATTCGATCTGTCCTCAGCATTGCTTCCTCAGAAGAGAGGCGGAAAGCCTTCAACACCTGCACATCCCACATCAGTGCTGTTTCCATCTTCTACCTCCCTCTCATCAGTTTGTCTCTTGTCCATCGCTATGGCCATTCAGCACCTCCATTTGTCCACATCATCATGGCCAATGTCTTTCTGCTAATCCCTCCTGTGCTCAACCCTATTATTTACAGTGTAAAGATTAAGCAGATTCAAAAGGCCATTATCAAGGTCTTAATTCAGAAGCACTCCAAATCTAATCATCAGCTATTTCTGATTAGAGATAAAGCCATTTATGAATAAGTGCTTTGCTACAATGGAGTAATTGTCCCAAAGTGCCCACACATGCCTCCAACAGTCCAAACTAAGCAATTTATAGGTTATGTGACATTTATTTAGTCAATTTCTTTGTCAATAAATTCATGTCATTGCCAACTAAATTATGATTTTGTTTTCAATATGAAGTGAAGAAACATATATAAACAACTAATTATATTTGTAAGCAGTATGAAAGCTACATAAAGTATTAATTCAGGCTCTGTATACAATTATAAAAGTTCACATTTAATGTGAGAAACTTTCTAAATAAGTCAGTTGTTATTTTCTGAATGACACACAGAAAACACTTTAATTAGTTTCTTTTCTTGAAATTCTTGATTATATATGCGATTCCAAAATAGAGATTCTATAGGGTGGATCCTAAAATACACATCAATGTAATTCCACATTGGGTCTTATCTAGATGGAATTATTTTGCCCTTTATTATGTGCAGGGGCTACCTAATGTAAATACAAGATACCATATTATGTGCTCAGCATCAGTTACTGCTGCTGTTAGCTGAAGAGTTAAAAGTTGGTAATTACATTGTTAACATTCTAGGAGTAAGGATAACACTATTTTTCATTTTTTTTTAAACCAAGATTTATCTTGGTGTAAGAGAATCTGTACTTTTGGCTCATATTTATCTCTATCCCTGATTTTATGGTTTCATTTATGGGCTCACTGGACTAGCAATGGCAGAGCAAAGGCTGGCTGATATCAACGTATAGATACTTTATAGCTGGTTGTTGAGTCCCTCCTCTGAAGTGAATACTCTGTAGTGAATATTAACATAAGACACAGAGCTTTTCATCCTTTGTGTGTGCTTCAATAGCACATCACATGCAGACTTTCTTACATCTCTTCTAACAAAGTTGCTAGTTCCATCTGTTGACAAATTATCCAAGCCTTTTAGCAAAGTCCTAGTCCATGTATATCCACAGACTTCAGACAACTTCTCCCCCAAACAACATTAACAACCAAGAGTACTACTCACAACTCTGCCCTTTGGAAATGTTTTCCTTCACCACTCTCCTTTATGCCATCAAAGGTAGGGCTATTGTGCCACTGCACACAATTTTTGGTTAGCATCAACTTGTCTACCAGTCTATTCATGAACTAAGCCTGAGTATTTTCCTCCTTTTCCAGAAACTTAACGAAATCCCCCATGAGGCCATGGATGTGAATTAATGCCGAGACATCCATACAACAGTGACAAGTGTCATAGGATTCTGGGCCAACTATTCACATAAATTATTTGTGCTTTTTGACCTTGTCCATCATTATCCCTACAATAATTGCTCAAATGTCTCAGATAGCATAACAACGTAAGAGTTTTTCCTGTTGCTAAGTATATTATCCTCAATTATGTGATTAAGCATCTGAAGAATAACCACAAGTAAAGCCGAAAAATTATTGGGCTGACTATGAGATAAACGTTGTTCATAACTCCATTAATCACTCTCAATAATCTTATAAGTTAACCAAAAGAGAGCATGATGATATGTTTGAGTGAACAAACTCTTTAAGAACTCTTAGATATAACCTTAGATAACCTATATATAAGAGTCCTTAAAGAGTTGGGTATTCTTTGTTTAATGAACAGTTACATTTGTAAATGACCTTAGACTGTTTGGGGGGAAATCTGGATAATTTTTATTACATACTGGTAGTAGCATTGTGGGACACTTTGTGGGGGAGACCAAGACTCATATTCAATTAATGGGTACTGTATACATGAAGTGACTTAAATATTTAAACAGGTTAAGGGATCATGACTTCCCATCATATGGCTGATGTCAGCCTGGTGCTGAGAAGTTCTCTATTGCAAATGTATGCTGGGTACATCCTAGAAGACTGTTCATTTAGCTCGTCTCCAGGAAGACTATCATATATTGCAACATATCAGTGTGGGTCCCATCACTCTGACAGCCATTCTAGCCTTTCTATCCTCTATAAAAATTATACACACTTATACGATTTTTAAGTACTGCCATGTGGTCTCAGAATTCCTTCATTCTCATTGTTAATAGGAAGCCCATTTCCACAGAAGCATCTTTCATTGTTATGTGTAGCCTACAGAGTACGGCAACTGCTGACCTTTGAAATGAACCAGACTTCCTCTTACAAATGCATTCTTTGTTGCCTCTGTGAAGACATTTCTCTTCCCTCATGGAGAAAATAATCATGTGGTAAATTCTCTTGTCCTATAGGATAAATCAATTCTAACATGTCAACTTCCCTGATATTTCTATAGTCCACATTTTACCAAGAATATTTGGCATCTCCACCTAATTTTCTGTGGTCATTATCATATCCAATCTTGAAACAACCGTCTCAGTAGTGCATTAGCACAGTTTCTGGGTATCCTTGATATAATATTGCACCTCTAATCATGGATCAATGCCTTCATGTCAATAAACTTTTCTCTGTTAATTAATATTCATACTACCACATACTTCCACTGCTGCCTGGATCTAACACCTTCAAGATCCACTCTACTCATTTGATTCCGGTTAGTCCAATTAAGTAGGTTCTGCAATGCCTTCAGTAAATAAGCTGTTTTCTCCAAAAATGTTAATAAAAATCCTCTTTTCAGGCTTTGCTGAGACCTGATTGGTTATTATTTTGGGTGCAATGAGAAATGATAGGGCAGTTCTTGTGGAGGAAAGGTATCAGTTGTGAGGCATCACACTCAGGTTTGGTTTGTGTAAGGTCTCCAGACAGTAATAAATGAATTATCTTTGAAAAGTAAGAAGGGATCTGTTTCTTCTGGCATAAAATATTCAAAAGTCTCAAGATTTGAAGACTTATTCACTCAAATGTCAACATTCCAGGAATGAGGATCTCATCATTTTCCCATTACTGTATTTCTAGTCTTTTTCAAGGTTTTTGACTTTATCACAGAAGATCTGTCAAACCTGAGCAGCCTGCCTTGTAGCTCTGCCACCTTTTTAGTGAAATCCTTTGCCTGATTTTTAGAGCTGTATAATCTATGTCTGAATGAGATAAAGGTTTCTGTCAGTGTTCCTACAGAGAACCTTTGATTTTCATGGCATACCCTGCATTGTGAGTTGGATGTCCCAATCTGATTAGCTCTTATTTCAAGATTTCTGAGGCAGATAATAAAATCAGCCCATTCCATAATCTTTAGATGTTTTAGGTAAAAATGGAAGACTAGATTCAGATCCATAGTTACTATATAAACTAATACCTTACCTTCCACCTGAACTTCATCCAGTCAATCACAAATGAGTGTGTTAGTAATTGTGATGCCATTGAATTTCAAGGATTATTGTCAGCCTTCTGACTGCTAGCAACCAGATTTTGTTATCAATTGAGCATGTTAATGATAATGTGCTTCCAGGGACCATGAATGAGGAACAACTGAAGTTAAAGAAGGAGAAAGAATAAGATGATAGAAAACACCTCATTGAGTTTGATGCTGCGTTAATCAGGGTTCAATCAAAAGACAGAAATCATACAATAATTTTAACAGGAAAAATTTAATTTAGAGAATTATTAACAAGGAGCTAAAATAGTGGAGAAATTAGCTTGTTAAAGAGAGTTATAAAGAATTCAGTAGAAACAGCTATAAGGGGCAACCATTACCCCAAGCACTGGGATAAAGCACCTAAGGAGGATTCCTTCCCTTGCACTAGGCTGGTGAACTCACAAAAGGGCCTTATCAGTGAGGTTTTCCATAAATCTGCCCTCTGATAGTTGCAGGAAAGGCCTTCCGTAAGAAGGTGCCAAGCCCCAGAACTCTCTAAGTGCAAGGGAAACTGCTGATTATTGGGCGTTGCTGTACCTGGGAGCTGGAAAGACTGTTCTTTCTAGGAGTATAATGCGTTTCCATGTGTGGCTGTACCTGGGGTGGCTCCAGCCCACCTTCTCTGGATAAGTTGAGTGACTACCTTGCTAGAAGACTAGTCCCATGGGGCCCCTGATGTGCACACAGATATTCAGGGCTAAGGAGAAGATATAGAAGAAGCTATCTCAGCTTCAGTGCTGGCCTATTATGCCTATGGTTCCAGGTTATGCCATTGTTGTTTCAGTGGAGAGCTGGAGAACAAGCTCAGTGGTGAAATGCTGAAGAAAGCTATGCACTGCTGGAACTGAGCCCTGGAGGAACCACACAGAGCCAAGCAATAAAGAAAAATCATGATTTGTAGGAGTCTGGTTGGCAAACCACAATAAAACCAGGAAGAGAAAAACCTCTTCTTCTCCTTTCAGTGTGCCTCCACTACCCTCTACTGACAAATCTTAACATTGTACCAGCTAGCAAAACATTATAAGGCCCAACATCTTCATCACAGAGCAGGTAAAAAGGAATTTGGAGGTTGAGAAATGGCATATCAATAATAATCCAGATACCATTATGGGTGACTATTGCCTAATCCTACAGGGCCACCTCTGAAGCCTTATCAAATACGTCTCGGGATACTCAACCCAGGAAAATAAAAAGACAGAAACAGTTAATCCATTGGATCCTTTTTCCCATTGCTGAAAGTCTACCTCATGAATCCTTAATTTCCCCCTATTTCTGGGTTGTACATGCATGGATACCAAGTGAGTACATGTAGATATTTCATCATTCAGTGTCAGTCTTGGGGCAAGAAACAAGAGGTACATGGCACGCGCCTAGGTTGAGAGGTTTTCAGATTCTTCCTGCGAAAAGCCAGCCAATGACTAAATGAGTCTGATTGCTGTAACAGTGATTGGAAAATGAGGCTAAAAGATTTGCGGTGATGCACTAGAAGCAGCGAATTCACAGGGTCAACTGATGTTCTATCCTGGAGAGCTTGTAGGTTCACAGAAAATGCAGTCACCTCAGAATGAGGTATGAGCCATTTCTTCTGCTGTACTGAAAATCTATCCTTGATCTTTTTTGTTATTGTTTTTGGTGCAAGTTCTGTTATTTAATCCTGTAAAGTCAATTAAAATGATATGCTTACCAACTTGTTTCCTTTTTTTAAAAACTCCAAATAGAGAAGAAAAATGATCCTGAAAAAGGTATCCAGGGGCCAAGTCTTTTAGAAAGTATGGGGATAGCTCCAGGGCAATGGAGAAAGTGCTATGAGCACATAAAGTATACAGAAGTGGTCTCAGGAAGGCTGCTGAGAGAAAAATGCTTTTGCAGGGAATATTTATTATTTCTAAGTTTACACCCTTTTATGTTAAAATGGTGATATTAATAATAATATTGTTATTATTTATTGTTGTTAACAATAAATAAAAAGGAGAAGTAAGGGAAAGCAGAAATGGAGGAGGAAGAGCTAGGGTAGCAAGTCAAATCAGAGAAAAAAATAGAAGAAAGATAATAGATTTTATTTCATCTTTTTCCTAAAAATTACCTAAATTTAGCCTTTCCAAGATGAGAGTTCTAATTGTTTTTCTCCCTAAAAAAAAAAACACAACACAACAAAGACAAACTTGTAATTTTTATCATAGTTCTAGTTGCTTTTTTGACCTGGTGACCCTGTAGCCTTTTCTGGATCTGGAGACCAATTAATTTTCCACTCAAAATGATGTAGATACATGTCAGGAACTAATAGAAGGATGTGCCATAAGGCAAACATGAGCCATATAAATTCCATTATGATTGTGGACTGATGCTGGAAAAAATACATCAACATTAGAAACTTGCACTCCTTTTGGTAATACTCTAGTTAAAATATACATTTTTCTGAATGTGAAAAATCAAATTGAATTATGTCTCCTATCTGTGTATAAGAATAGGAATGTGAGGAAGCAGTGCTCCTCGTTTTTTGAAGCCATTGTAGACTGAAGAGGTGCTCTTCATTACCTGCTAAAAACTGCTCTAGGTTTAGGCTCAAGGTTTTCTGGAAGTTTACCTCTAAAAGTTTCTGAAAGCTTTTTATATTGATTATCCTACTCACTGACGATCCATAGTTGTCCTCTGAGCTATAAGCTCAATAAAAGCAATGCATCTATTTTGGTCATCTGTGTTTCTCAGTAGCTGGACACAATGCATTGTTCATAATAGGTCATCAAGAAATACACATCAAATAAATGAATGATGATGGCAATAGATATGCTGTTTGTGGTAGGTAACATAAGAATTGATGGGGAAAGGAATAAAATTTACTTGTACTATCTATTTTAGAAAGCGGGGGGAGATTTTTTATTATCAGAAAAGGTATTTTCCTAATGGGTGGAGGTTTGAATAAAGATTAAAGTTTGAATGAACACAACCGTTTAGGGTTATCTTCTCTAATTAGGATAATCTAACTAGGTCTGCAATGCTCTCTTGGTTCGACACTTATGTGCTTCTTTTCTAGGCCTTAATTATATTTTCATGACAGCTGCAATTTGCCAGAGCAATAAGTTGAGAAACTAGGCTGGATATTTTGGGCTAGAATTAGAGTAGGCCTTCATGGTTATTTTGTTCTGGTCCAGTAATAATAAAGAGGACCATTTCAAAGGATATTCTGTATCGCTTTTGTCTGTCATCCTCAGCAAGCAGCTCTAAATATATTCAGGGCCTAACAAATCTGGTTTCAGTCACCCATCTGCCCGGGAGTTTCAGTGCTGCCTCTACCCAAGTCCAGTGAAGCCTTGAGTCTAGGGGACCTAAGGCTTTAGGAAAATAATACAGTGTTTAACTAGGACTGACATTTTCCTGAAGGCAGAATATTAGGTATCATAATCCTGACTGTATTTCTACTGGCATGATCTTGCAGTAAAAGGCTACTAAATACCAAAAAAATTCTGACCTTAAGTAGGGTTTACAGCTTTATCAGAGCTCTGCATATTATCAAATCTTCAGCGGTGTTAAGCCAACTAGGCCCATGTTATAGTATAAGTCTGCTAGTTTACTGGACTCTTTTCTCCACTTTTCTGCCTGTCCTAACTGATTACTACAGCCCCCAACTCCATCACATCACCTCTTGTATTAACCTGAAGATGAAGTCATCATTGTCGGCTATCTAAGTTGGTTCATTTATGTGATATACTTTGTTTCAGGCCAATAGTATTTTGCTAAATCTTATTTTCTATTTTCTTTATCTGAAAATCATATGCCCCTGCACAACTTGCCAGCAGAATTATACAATTTATTTATTTCTAATTTTCAAAGTTACTGGGCTGAACAATTTCCCTTCTGAACGTGAGGGTCTGAGATATTAAGCATGCTGTGACCCTGGGCATTACTTTTTGTTTTGTGAGATTAAGTGCCTTTGAGGACCAATAAATGTTAAGGGGCTAGATATAAGACAATGGGGAAAGAAGGAGCCTATGATAAATTAGAGACCTTGTTACTTACCTAAAGCCATCACATTAAAAATCTGTCTAGACATTGTGATGACCAAACAGAACACATTTGTGGGCAGGATTCCACCTCAAGTCTGCCTGTCTCTGACCTCAGTGACTGGCTTATGTTGAGCCTTTTAAGACATACACTGAATCTTAGATAGAGCCATTGCTGGATTTGGGCTGTCTTTGATAATGCCTTAGAGTGACTGTACCCAAATCCTGCACCTGTGTGGGAACAGGATCACATCAGTTAAAGCCGTCACTGTGATTCAGAGCCTGCTCACTTAAGAGAGCTCATTATTAACAGACATTGATGAGACAAATCAAAGCAAAATTAAAACAAAAGTCATTGTTCCCAGGGGACTAGGTGCCTATTAATTCTCAGGAGGGTGTTCCTCGGCTAAAGGAGAGTATGAAGATATAAACAAAGGTGCAGATTCCCAACAGAGTGCTGGAACAGAGAAGCTGCAGAAGCTGGAGGATCTGAAGGCTTTCCATTCTTGGTCTGGAATAAGGTAGCCATAAGCCTGGTAGGTGTTCTGGTGAATGAAATTGAATTTCCTTAGGATGGTTTTATCTTTTCCAATGAAAACACTGTAGTTTATAGAGATCAACCCTATGTCTTTCAGAGGAATGGAGGTAAAAATATTTCATGGGTTGTTCAACCTAAGAGATCAAGCTACATTTTGGAAAAGTTTTATGGCTGAAAAGACTAGTGTCCACATGTAGCATGGGGTACTTACTTGTATTTACATGATGAATACAGTTGAATACAACAATGTTGCCAATAGTAACTCATGTATTGAGTTACCTGAGTTACACTGGAAGCTTGTCAAGAAAGCCCTCAGGCATGAAACCTTGGGAATGGCTCATTTCGAGGGGATTCATTGAAGGGAGACAGATGTTGTGTTATTGCTTTTGTCTCTGTCAGAATTCAGACTGTTAGCCATACCATTACATAGCCATACCAATAACAGGCTGTTAGCCATACCATTGGAGCTTTTATTCTACAGCTCTTGAAAGGAAAGTTACCCAAAGTGTCAGTAAAGCTGACTCCAGGAGTATGATCAGGATCAAACCCAAATTCCAGAGACAGACACCTGCACTGGTCACCAATCTGAAGGGTAGACACACAGAAGCCAAGTGCAATAGGAAAAAATCCGTGAACAGACAAAGACAAGAGCTGTGACCATTCTGAGCAGGGCCAGTAGCAATTGCACTGTAAGGTGGTGAGTACTTTAAACAGGTACAAATGGCATCTATGTTATGGGATGCATAACAAGGATGCATTGGTCACATATAACACTAAGCCTGCCTCATAGCTCCTAACTCGGGTCAATATGAGGCAAAGGTCCTTAAAAAATTTTGCAGCATACAGAGTAGCTGCTAGTTCCCCTTTCCTTCACTACTTTCTATTTCTACCCACCACTTTCTAGTTTCTTCTAGCTGAATGCAATCTCCTCTTTATCTACACTTGCCAAGATGTGCTCAGAGACTTTCCATGAAAGGACAAATGATCACACGTGGCCATCCTCTCTGCACCTCTTGCTGCCACTGGCCATCTAAGTCATGAGAGCTGGGTCAGAGGAGCCCTTCCTCCTCTGCTCACTGAGGTGCTGTGTTTACTCACACTGCCCTGCCTCAGGCTACTGTCAAGATCTGGCAAATGGTGTTTGCTACCAGACTTGAAGATCTCTCTGAGGTTTTGAGCCTATCTTTTTCTGTGAATATCCAAAAAGTGAATCATTTTACAATGTGTATAATTTTCAGGCACATATCATCCCTACCACATCTGCTTTTTATTCTCTTGTTTTTTATTTTAATAATATTCTTTAAAAATAGAAAAACCCCACATGTTGTACAAAACAGGCCATGGGCTGAGTTTGACTCTGCATTACAGTTTGCCACCCTCTGTGGTAGACCAATTCTATATATTTTCACAGATGTGTACCAAGATTGATAACATAAGATTTAGGTCTCCCTTAAGTGCTGTGACTATAGCATGCATCTGTGGTTTGTGTGAGTACATGACCATTGACCACATGCGTGATAGTAGATTATAACACATTCCACTTAGTTTAATTGAATCAAAAATCTCAAAAAGCAAGGGTTTCAAAAAAAGCGGGTATCAAAGCACCTTCTTTCTAGCTAGAAAATTATTCAGAAATATATCAGGGAATAAAGATAGAAAAATAACACACAGGTTTTAAATGAATCCTGTGATGAACCTGTTTAAATATTTTCCATTGTTTTCTTTACATAGGAAAATATATGTTATGCTATTTCTTGACACCTAAGATTGAGCTATATTTAATTTAACCAACAACTGAACTTAAATATGTTCAGCAAGTACAATTAAAAACTTTTATCTATTGTGCATCTTTCTTTAGACCCACGAGTGGATAAGCTAGTGACCTATCTGTGATGTTTCTGCTCAATACCTCAGAAGTTGAAGTCTCCACATTCCTATTGATTGGGATACCAGGACTTGAGCATGCACACATTTGGATCTCTATCCCCATCTGCCTTATGTACCTCATGGCCATCCTGGGCAACTGCACCATCCTATTTGTTATCAGAACAGAGCATTCCCTGCAAGAGCCCATGTACTATTTCCTCTCCATGCTGGCCCTGTCCGACCTGGGCCTGTCTTTCTCCTCCCTACCCACGATGCTGAGAATCTTCTTGTTCAACAACATGGGGATTTCTGCTGATACATGCATTGCCCAGGAATTCTTCATCCATGGATTCACAGACATGGAGTCTTCAGTTCTCCTAATCATGTCCTTTGATCACTTAGTAGCCATTTGCAACCCCCTAAGATATAGCTCTATTCTCACCAGCTTCAGGGTTTTGCAAATTGGACTGGCTTTTGCCATTAAAAGCATTCTCCTAGTGCTACCCCTTTTACTTTAAAGAGACTCAGATACTGTAATAAACACCTTTTATCCCACTCCTACTGCCTTCACCAGGATGTAATGAAGCTGGCCTGCTCTGACAACAGGGTTAACTTTTACTATGGTTTGTTCGTTGCACTCTGCATGATGTCAGACAGTGTTTTTATTGCTATTTCCTATATGTGTTCATCCTGAAGACTGTGTTGGGTATTGCATCCCATGGGGAGTGCCTCGAAGCTCTTGACACCTGTGTGTCTCATATCTGTGCTGTACTCGTCTTCTATGTGCCCATCATCACCTTGGCTACCATGCGTCGCTTTGCTAAGCATAAATCCCCTTTAGCTATGATTCTGATAGCAGATGCATTCTTGCTGGTACCACCCTTGATGAATCCCATTGTGTATTGTGTAAAAACTCGGCAGATTAGAGTAAAGGTCCTGGAAAAATTGGCTCTGAAGCCTAAATGATGGGGCAAAGGTGGAAATTCTATTTTTTTCACAATACATTTTCTTAGGAGAAGGACAGTGTTTCATCCAAATAGGAAATGGTTCTATTTACTTCAAAGTTTTTAAATTAGCATTAATTAATTAATTGTTCAATCAACTAATCCCTAAGGAGCATCTAATATACCACAGCTTTTCTACTTTTGATAAAGAAGAGGCTTATATTTCATGAAAATGTTACAAATCATTTTGTTGTTCTTTGGGTGATTGATAAATTCAATTCTCAGACACGAGAAGGAAGAGCAAAACTCTTGCAAATCTTCTAATGAGAAGTTAGGAAAAGTAGCCCTTAACTGTGGCTGGGAGAGTCCTACAAAATTCTGGTACTATTTAACATCTTGATATTTACCTCCTCTTATTTTATTTTCATTGTGATTTACATTAAACTCTTTATAAAGTGTCTGAGTTTGTCTAAGTATGTTCTTTACTTTGCTATTCAAAGTGTGGTCTGCTGACTGACAGCAACAGCATTACCTAGAAAGTTGTTAAAATTGCTGCAGAATCTCATGTCCTGCTGCAAGCCTGTTGAGCTGAAATGTGCATTTTAGCAAGATCTCAGGTGACTGGCATGTAGGTTAGTGTTTAAGGAACACTTTTCTTGGGTGATGTGAAAGGGAAACATAGAGACTATGTCATTTGGTGAAGCAAATTTTGGTGGAAGTCAATTTGGAGAGGAAGTTATAGAAGGGCCATGGCACTTGACAGTGTTTATAGTAAAGATAAGGGACTGAAACTTTGGTGCTCAATGGTTGCAGGCCCATATGTATTTCCACCATGATGCATATATCTCTCTCACTAACTATACTGTAAATTTCCACAGGACAAGAGTTACGAATTATTCAACTTTCACTCTCCTGACAACAAAGTACTCTGTCGATGGTATGTGCTTGGTAGATCTATTAATATATCAGTTTGAACTAAAAAAAATAGTCTAAAGAAAAAGAGGTAGCATCCTGAAGCCAGGCCCCTCACGTTTTTCTGGGGTGAGAATTCTAGGGTGCATCAGAGCAGTCATCATCTAGGCTCAACACAGCACTCTCTCCTCTGCATGCCTCATAGTAAGAAGTTAACATTGCAGATACATAAGGAGGTTCGTGAGATGTGGATTCTTCCCTTGGATGCTGCCTTCTGAATTGAGGGGCGCTCCATATTACTGTTCATGAGTAATGATAGCACAGAATCTGCACCACTGTGGCCAAGTAGACACCCAAATAACTTTAATACCTGAGCCTCCCTAGTCTCACCTCTCACTTTATGGCATTGTGAATGGAACCAGACCAAAGGGCTCCAATGATCTCCTAATGAGAAAGGGTCAGCAAGGAAACTTTAGGAGTCACTAGGACTGTGCAATCCTTATTTACTACATCAGGGTCCAGGATCACTCCTAAAGAATAAGATATAGTGTAACTCTAGGCTGAGAATTTAGGAATTTAGAAGCTAACCCACAGAAGAAGGAGTAAATAAACCCCATCAGGGTTACGTGTCCTCTAAAGTCCTTACTGTGATAGCTCAGTCCTTCCAGGGAGATCAAATGAATGGAAAAACTAGGGACTCGGTCAGGAACAGGTCCTCTGGTTTCAGCTCTGCCATTTCCTGGCTGTGTGGTATTGAGAAAATTACTTCCTATGTATTATGATATATTTCATATGTACTTTTAAATTAAGAACATAATTATTTCTCCATACATTCCAGGGATTAAATAAGTTAATGTGTTTAAAAGCTTTAAGATCTCAATATGGTCTTCAGACAGGTTTTGTTTGGACATGGCAGTGTTTGGATTATTTTGTCTATATATATATAAAATTATACACACAAAATATATAAAATATAGACATAAATTATCTTAAATATGGAAAGACATGGAAGTAGTAGACCTATATTCCCCCATGGAAACATTCAAACATTCAGTAGGCAACCCCTGAGAAGTCTTAAGCCTCTTGGTTAATAAAGATCCCACTACTCACAGTGTGAATATGTACTTGTTTTATAAATTTATGTTATTTCCTTGGCTTCTCTAAACATTTGAACTTATGATCCCTGTTATGAATTCTCAATATCTCCCTCCCCCCTCTCTCTCTCTTCCTCTCTCTTTCTGACACACACACACACACACACACACACACACATACACACACGAGTAACATTCTGGTTGCTATCCTGGAGAGCTTTGTTTATCAAGTAGACCAACCCAGAGATCTGGCTTTTGCAAGGCTTTTCCCGATCTGCAGTTTTATCCACCTTCTGTGTACCACTGTTACACTTTGTAAATGTGCTTGCTAATACTTTCTCCCCTCTGTGTGCTGTTAAGAAATTTTTTTTTCCCCTTAACTTATCAGTCAAGTTAACGTGATTTGCAGAGGGAGGATAGGATCCTAGACTGGCCGGGGGTATTAATAACAACCACTATGTGGTTGAAGGTTTTGACAGAATTGGTATGGATTTGGCCAGTGTACAGGAGAGAGTGGGAAAAAGGAGAGAGCAATTGAGGCTCTGCTGTGAAAGAGAGACAGTTTTCTACTACCCTGATTTAGCAGAGTAATAAACACATGGAGGCAGCCAGAGGAGTTGGGTTTCAGTTCAATACCTACCACTGACTTATACAGGACCATTCAAAGGTGCTTTCCACAGGCCAAAGTTGCAGCTTTCTGTCTATAAAATGAGGTGGAGCTGGGGGAAGATTAAAGAAACTTCCAGCTATAAAGCTCTTTATTCTGATTAATCATGCATACAAAGTTTAAATATAGTTACTGTTTTTTTATTAATTCCAAATCATTTATTGAATATCTCTATGTTCCCACATTATGATACAGATGTTTTACTGTAAGATAAGAACTGCTTTATTTATAATAGAAACAAAAGACATACATTTATAAAATACATATATAAATATATTTAACTTAAGCAAATAATTTTATTGGAAAACAGAAAAAACTGTTAATGAAACACTTATACACTCTTGCATGTGAAAACTTACCGTTAATGTTTATTTTCTTACATTTAATCTATAAATATAATTTAACACCTCCTAGAAATCCAAAGCTTTCGTTTGTTTTGTGAGATTGGGTTTGCTTTACATCTCATATTAAGTAAATCACACTATAAAGCTATAATAAATAAGTGATATGTTGTCATTCCTAAAAAGATCTGCAAAGCAAAATGCATACACCTACACAACCTACTGACCAGCAAGCATTATAATAAATGCTGTGGTGGTGAGCACCTGAGATTTTTTGGTTGGTATACAGTAAGTGAACTAAGAGTGTTAGTACACTGTGTATACTTATATACACACACAGATATACATTGTATATTATATATACACAATATTATATATACATATAATTTATAATATGATATGCATAGTATTTTATTTCAGTGAGAAAAAGAATGTATTTAACAGGTGATTCTGCCATTAGTAAATATCCACCTTGATTAATATAAATTTAAACTTCTAACAGAAAAACTTAGAAGTAAAAACTATTGTAACAATTTTAGAAAATAGTATAAGAGATAGTGCATTGAATGCTTGGAATCAAAGACATCTTTTTTTTTTTTTTTTTTTTTTTTTTGAGATGGAGTCTTGCTCTGTCACCCAGGCTGGAATGCAGTGGTGCAATCTCTGCCCACTGCAACTTCTGCCTCCCAGGTTCAAGCGATTTTCCTGCCTCAGCCTCCCGAGTAGCTGGGACTACAGGTGTGCACCACCATGCCCAGCTAATTTTTTTTTTTTTTGTATTTTTGGTAGAGACGTGGTTTCACCATACTGGCCAGGCTGGTCCCGAACTCCTGACCTCAGCCTCCCAAAGTGCTGGGATTACGGGCGTGAGCCACCGCGCCTGGCCAAAGACCTCTTTTTTAGAGCAATATATGAAACACAAAAAGTATAAAGGAAACTAAATTTAGGTTTGTTTAAATAATACTACCTGTATTTGCTTGAGAGTTGATTGGCAAACAAGATCAAAGACAAATACCAGATTGGGAAAGGCATAAAACAAAAATGTTTTGGAAATATTTATTTATTTATTAGGTTGGTGCAAATGTAATTGCTATTTTGTCATTATTTTTAATGGCAAAAACTGCAATTATGTTTGCACCAACCTAACATTTATTTATTTTTGAGACAAGGTCTTGTTCTGTTGTCCATGCGGGGTTGCAGTGGTGAAACCATAGCTCACTGCAGCCTCCTCCTCCTTGGCTCAAGTGAACCTCTCACTTCAGAGTCCTTAGTAGCTGGGACTATAAACACCTGCCACCATGAATGCCTATTTATTTTTTAAATTTTTTGAAGAGATGGTATATTCTTATGTTGTCCAGCCTGGTCTCAAACTCCTGTACTTAAGCAATTCTCTTGCCTCAGCTTTCTGAAGTGTTGGGATTATAGGTGTGACCCACCCACTTATATTTAAAATATAAACAACCCAATAGAAAAATGGATGAAGATTATTTGAATAGGCTATTCATGGGAGAGGAAACAAAAATAATCAATAATATGTGAAAGACATTCATTTTTACTATTAGCAAAATCTAAAATTAAGTAAAATTAGATAATTCTAACTTATTTTAAAGTAAAATAATTTTACTTTATGTAATTAAAGTAATAAAAACCATTATATACTTGAAGGTTCTGACAGAATTGGTGTGGATTTGGCCAGTGTGCAGGAGACAGCAGGAACAAGGAAAGAACAATTGAGGCTCTGCTGTGAAAGAGAGACAGTTTTCTGCTACCCTAATTTAACAGAGTTATAAACACATGGAGGCAGCCATGTGTTTAAAGTAACATTGATTACTATTAATTTTACATAAAGTAAAATTAATTAAAATGTTATTAATTTAAATTCATAAAAATTTTAAAATATTAGAGCAGTCAATTTTGTTGTATATGCAAGAAAAAGGCATTCTCTGACATAGTATAGAAGTATGATTTGCTGGCCAGGCACGGTGACTCACACCTGTAATCTCAGCACTTTGGGAGGCTGAGGCAGGCGGATCACGAGGTCAGGAGATCAAGACCATCCTGGCTAACACAGTGAAACCCTGTCTCTACTAAAAATACAAAAAAATTAGCCGGGCGTGGTGGTGGGTGCCCGTAGTCCCAGCTACTCGGGAGGCTGAGGCAGGAGAATGGCATGAACCCAGGAGGCAGAACTTGCAGTGAGCCGAGATCTCGCCATTGTGCTCCAGCCAGGGCACAGGGCAAGACTCTGTCTAAAAAAAAAAAAAAAAAAAAAAAAAAAAAAAAAAAAAAAAAGTATGATATGAATTGCTGTAATTTTTTGAGAAAAGAATCTACCAACAAACATGTAAACTTTTAACATGTAAATCCTTTAAAGCCAGCAATCGTGACCTGGAGATCAGTCTTTCAGAAGTAATAGCCTAAGTGTACATGGGGAATTGTAGAAGAGCATTTATTAGAGCATTGCTTGGAGTGGCATAAAACTGAAGACAACTCTAATACTCACTCGTAGAAAACAGTTGAATAAATTACCTTGATCCACACCATGGAACATTATGATTATGTCGTCATTTGAATGAATTAAATCCATACTAGTGCACTTGGAGGAATGAGGAATTTCTATTATAAGAAAACAAGATGCAGAAAGGCATATAGAAAGTTATCGAGATTCAGAGGGCAGGGACAGAACAAGATGTAGGAATAGAAGGCTCCACCAATTGTCCCCCCACCACAAGGACACTGATTTAACACCTGTACATAAGAAACACTTTTTTAAAAACAAAAAAGTCGGATGAGTCCTTATAATAACTTATAATAAAAAGGCACTGAAAATATTTTAAAAACCTACCTTGAATCGCCGATGCCGCGCTGCCCCTGTCATCAGGCAATGGCAATGGCAGTGTGGTGCAGAGAATGTCTCTGGGTGCTTGGAGAGGGGAGAGCAGACACACTGGTGTCAGAAATGAAATTCTGATGCATTAAACTCAGTGCTGTCCTGTTAGAGCAGGAAAATAACAAATAACAACAACAACAAAACTGGACCAAACTCAGCTGATGCTCACCCATGGAGGGAGCATTTAAAACAGCCATAATCAGAGGGGAATCACTGATCCCAGCAGTCAAAACTGGACTTCCTGTAAACCTCACCACCACAGACCAAAGTGATCTGGGTCTTTAAGTAAACTTGAAAGGCAGTCTAGGCCACAAGGACTGCAACTCTCAAACGAGTCCTGTTGCTGAACTGGTCCAGAGACAGTGGACTAGAGAGGGATGCAACCTACCGAGACACACTGAGGCTGCTAAGGGAGTGCTGGTATCATGCCTTCCCTAACCCCAGGCTGCATAGCTCATGGCACCAAAAGAGACCCCTTCCTTCTGCTTGAGGAGAGGAGAGAGAAAAGTAGGAGGAGCTTGTCTTGCATCTTGCAGGCCAGCTCAGCTGCAGCAGAATAGAGCGCCAGTCAGAGTCCTGAGGCCTTTGTTCCAGAACCTAGCTACCAGATGGCATTTCTAGACACATCCTGGGTCAGAAGGGAACCTGCTGCCTTGAAGGGAAGGACCTAGTCCTGGCAGCATTTATCACCTGCTAACTGAAGAGCCCTTGGACCCCGGACAACAAGCAGCAATACCCAGGTACTACGTCAAGAGTCTTGGGTTAGCCTCTGAGACTTGCTGACTTCAGGTGAGATTCAGCACATTACCAGCTGTGCTGGCTATGGGGAGAGACTCCTTCTGCTTGAGGGAAGAGTAAGAGGACTTTCTCTTGCACCGTAGGTACCAGCACAACCACAGGGGTGTAGAGCAGGTTCTTGGGATCCCCCATTCCAGGATTTGACTCTTGGATGGCATTTCTGGAACTGCCCTGGGCCAGAGGGGAGCCCACTGACCTGAAGGGTGAGTTCCTGGCCAGGCAGTATTCACCACAAGCTGACTTAAGAGCCCTTGGGCCTTACAGGAACATCTGTGGTTTTCTGGCAGTACTCCTCATGGCCAGTAGTGGCAGGTGGCTACAGGATGAGGGTCCTTTGCCTTTGAAAAGTGGAGGGAGAGTGGGAAGGTCTGTATCTTGTGATGTGAGTGCCAGCTCAGCTGCAGTATAATAGAACACCAGGTAGACTTCTAAGGCTTTTGACCCTAGTGCCTAAATCCCCGACAGCATCTCTGGACCCACCTGGGGCCTAGGGGATCTCACCTTCCTGAAGGAAAGGACACAGGCCTGGCTGGCTTTGCCAACTACAGATTGTGGAGCCCCATGGCCTAAAGCAAACAAAGACAGCAGCCAGGAAGTGGTTACAGCAGGCCTTGGGTGAGATCCAGTGGTGTGCTGGCTTCAGGTCTGACCCAGCACAGACATACTGGTGGTGGCCACAGGGGTGCTTGTGTCACCCCACCCTTAGATTCATGTGGCTCAGAACACAGACAGACTCCATTTATTTGGGATAAAGTAAGGGAAGAGAACGAGAGTCTCTGCCTGGTAATCCAGAGAATATTCCATATTTTGTCTAAGACCATCAAGGCGGTACCTCTATGAGTCTAGAAGAAGCACAGCATTACTGGGCTTGGGGTTACCCCTAAAGTAGATACAACTTAGATCACAACACCCAAGTCCCTTGAAATATCTATAAAGCCATCCCAAGAAGGATGGGTACAAAGAAGCCCAGACAGTGAAGACTACAATAAATAAACAATTCTTGAATGACCAAACAGTGAATAACATTGTACAGGAAAACATGACCTCACCAAATAAACTAAATAAGGCACCAGGGACCAATCCTGGAGAAACAGAGATATGTGACCTTTCAGATAGAATTCAAAATACCTGTGTTGAGGAAACTCAAAGAAATTCAAGATAACACAGAGAAGGAACTCAGAACTACATCAGAAAAAATTAACAGTGATATTGACATATTTACAAAGAATCAAGCAGAAATTCTGGGGCTGAAAAATGCGATTGGCATACTGAAGAATGCATTAGAGTCCTTTAATCACAGAATTAATGAAGCAGAACAAAGAATTAGTGAGCCTGAAGACAGGCTATTTGAAAATACACAGCCAGAGGAGACAAAACAAAAAAGAATAAAAAACAACAAAGCGTACTTACAGGATCCAGAAAATAGCCTCAAAGGGCAATTCTAAGAGTTATTGGTCTTAAAGAGGAGATGGAGAAAGAGATAAGAGTTAGAAAATTTATTTAAAGAGATAATAACAGAGAACATCCCAAACCTAGAGAAAGTTGTTAATATAAAAGTACAAGAAGGTTAGAGAATACCGAATCAATTTAACCCCCAAAATAACACCTCAAAGCATTTAATAATCAAATTCCCCAAAATCAAATATAATGAAAGGATCCTAAAAGCTGCAAGAGAAAAGAAACCAATATATCTGACAGCAGACTTTTCACTTGAAACTTACAGGCCAGGAGAGAGTAACATAAGATAATTAAAGTGCTCTCAAGGAAGAGTTCTTTTACCCAAGAATAATATATCCAGTGAAAATATCTTTAAAAGATGAAGAAGAAATAAAGACTTTCCCAGACAAACAAAGTTGAGAAATTTCCTCAACACCAGACCTGTTCTATAAGAAATGCTAGCCCGAGCATGGCGGCTCACATCTGTAATCCCAGCACTTTGGGAGGCCGAAGCAGGCAGATCACCTGAGGTCAGGAGTTCGAGACCAGTCTGACCAACATGGAGAAACCCCGTCTCTACTAAAAATACAAAAATTAGCCATGTGAGTTTGTGCGTGCCTGTAATCCCAGCTACTCCGGAGGCTGAGGCAGGAGAATCACTTGAACCTCAGTGGCAGAGGTTGTGGTGAGCCAAGATCACGCCACTGCACTGCAGCCTGGGCAACAAGAGCAAAACTCTGTCTCAAAGGGAGTTCTTTAATCTGAAAGAACAGGACATTAATGAGCAATAAATAATCACTTTAAGGTAGTAATACAAAAGTCATTGGCAATAGTAAGTACCTAGGAAAACACAATATTATAACACTATAACTGTGGTGTGTAAACTACTCTTATGCCAAGTAGCAGGTCTAAAAATAAATAAATAAAAAATAATAGCTACATCAACTTTTCAAGACATAGACAGCACAATAAGGTATAAACAGAAAAAAATATTAAAATGCAGCAGAAACAAAGTTAAGGTGCAGTTTTTATTGGTTTTCTTTTAGCTTGTTTAGGCAAAGAGTGTTAAGTTGTTATTAGGTTAAAATAATGGGTTATAAAATAGTATTTGAAAGCCTCATGGTATATTAGTTCATGCTTACATTGCTATAAAGAATTACCTGAAACTGGGTAGTTTATAAATTAAAGAGGTTTCATTGTCTCACAGTTCCACAGACTGTACAGGAGGCAAGGCTGTGGAGGCCTCAAGAAACTTACAATCATGGTGGAAGGTGAAGAGGAAGCAATCACGTCTTCACATGGTGACGGGAGAGAGACAGAGTGAAGAGGGAAGTGCCACACACTTTTAAATCATCAGATAACATGAGAAGTTACTCACTATCATGAGAACAGCATGATTTAATCATCTCCCATCAGGTCCCTCTCTCCACGTTGGGAATTACAATTCAACATGAGATTTGGGTGGGGACACAGAGCCAAAACATATCATTCTGCCCCTTGACCCTCCAAAATCTCAAGGCCTTCTCACATTTCAAAACACAATCCTGCTTTCCCTATAGTCCCCCAAAGTCTTAAATCATTCCAGCATTAACTCAAATCTCCAAGTCCAAAGTCTTACCTGAGACAAGGCAAGTTTCTCACACTGGTGAACTTGTAAAATGAAAAACAAGTTATTTACTTACAAGAGAAAATGGGGGTACAGGCATTGGGTAAATGCTCCCATTTTTAATGGAAAAAATTGGCCAAAACCAAGGGGCTACAGTTCCCATGCAAGTCCGAAACCCAGCAGGGCAGTCATTAAATCTTAAATCCTCAAAATAATCTCCTCTGACCCCATGTCTCTCACCCAGGGCATGCTGATGCAAGGCGTGGCCTCTCAAGGCCTTCAGCACCTGTGCCCCTGTGGCTATTCAGGATACAGCCCCTGCAGTTGCTTTCACAGGCTGGCTTTGAGTGCTTGCAGCTTTTCCAGGTGCATGGTGCAAGCTATCGGTGGATCTGCCATTCTGGAGTATGGATAATGGTGGCTCTCTTCTCACAGATCCATTAGGCAGTGCCCCAGTGGGAACTCTGTGTGGGGGCTCCAACCCTACATTTCCTCACTCCACTGCCTTAGTAGAAGTTCTCCATGAGAGCACCACCCCTGCAGCAGACTTCTGCCTGGACATCCAGGCTTTTCCATACATCCTCTGCAATCTAGGTAGAGGCTCCCAAACCTAAACTCTTGCCTTCTGTACACCCACAGGCCCAATACCACATGGAAGCTGCTATGGCTTGGGACCTGCACCCTCTGAAGGAATAGTCCGAGCTGTACCTTGGCTCCTTTTAGCAATGGCTGGAGCTGGAGTGGCTGGAACGCAGGGTGCCATGTCTCAAGGATGCATAGATCAATGGGGCCCTGGGCCTGGCTCACAAAACCACTTCTCCCTCCTTGGCCTCCAGGCCTGTAGTGGGAGGGGCTGCAGTGAAGGTCTGAAATACCTGGGAGACATTTTCCCCATTGTGGTGGCTATTAACGTTTGGCTCCTCTTTATTTATTCAAATTTATGCAGCTGGCTCTAATTTATCCCCAGAAAAATAGGTTTTTATTGCCTACCACATGGTCAGGCTGCAAATTTCCCAAACTCATATGTTCTGCTTCCCTTTTAAATATAAATTTCAGTTTCAGATATAAGCTCTTTGTTCATGCATATGGGTGTACACCGTTATAAGAAGAAAATAAATAATAAAGATCAGAGCAGAAATAAATAAAATTGAAACAAAGAAAACAACACAAATGATCAATAAAACAAAAAGGTTTTTTGAAAAGTTAAATTTCCCCAAAATTGACCAACTTTTAGCCAGACTAAGAAAGAATAAGAGATGATCCAAATAAATAAAATTTGAAATGAAAAAGGAAACATTACAACTGATACTGAAGAAATTTAAAGGATAATGGCTATCACGAGCAAGTATATGCCAATAAATTAGAAAATCTAGAAGTAATGGAGAAGTTCCTAGATGCATACACCCTACCAAGATTGAACCACGAAGAAATCCAAAATATAAACAGACAAATAACAAGTAACAAGATCAAAGCCACAATGAAAAGCCTTCCCATAAAGAAAAGCCTGGGATACGATGGATTCACTGCTGAATTCCACCAACCAATTAAATAATTAATACCAATCCTACTCAAACTATTCCAAAATATGGAAGAGGAAGGAATACTTCCACACTCATTCTATGAGGTCAGTATTACCATGATACTAAAACCAAAGACTCATCAAAAAAAGAAAACTACAGGCCAGTATCTCTGATAAATGTTGATGCAAAAATCCTCAACAAAATACTAGCAAGCTGAATTCAAAAAAACATTAGAAAGATAATTCATCATGAGCAAGTGGGCTGTATCCCTGGGACACAAGAATGGTTCAACATATGAAAATCAATCAATGGGATACATTCTATCAACAGAATGAAGGATAAAAACCATATGATCATTTCAATTAATGCTGAAAAAGCATGTGACAAAATTCAACACCCCTTCATAATAAAATCCCTTAAAATGGGTATAGAAGGAACATATCTCAAAATAGTAAAAGCCAGATATGACAGACCCACAACTAGTATCACACTGAGGAAAAACTGAAAGCCTTTACTCTAAGATCTAAAACACTAGAAGGATGTTCACTGTCACCACTATTATTCAACACAGTATTGGAAGTCCTAGCTAGAGTATTAAGAAAAGGAAATAAAGTCATCCAAATTGGAATGGAAAAATTCAGATTATTCTTATTTTCAGAAGATACGATCTTATATTTGGAAAAACCTAGAGACTTTACCAAAACAATTATTAGAACTGAGGAACAAATTCAGTAAATTTGCAGGATACAAAATTAGCATACAAAAATCAGTAGCATTTCTATAAGCCAACAGTGATCAAAAATTAAAAAGAAAAAGAAATTAAAAAGTAATCTCATTTACAATAGCCACATGTAAAATTAAATACCTAAAAATTAATTGAACCAAATAAATAAAAGATATCTACAATGAAAACTATAAAACACGGATGAAAGAAGTTGAAGAGGGTACCAAGAAATTGAAAAGTATTCTAAGTTCATGGACTGAAAGAATAAATATTGTTAAAATGTCCATACCGTCCAAAGCACTCTATAGATTTAATGCAATTCCAATGAAAATATCAATGACATTCTTCACAGAAATAGAAAAAACAATCTTAATTTGTATGGAACCATAAAATAACCAGAATAGCCAAATTATTTAAGTGAAAACTACTACAGAAAACTTTGGGGAAACTACTACAAAAAAACATTGGGGAAATTCTCCAGGACATTGATCTGGGTAAAAATTTCTTGAGCAATATCCCACAAGCACAGGCAACCTAAGCAAAAATGGACAAATAGGATCACATTAAGTTAAAAAGCTTCTGCATAGCAAATAAAACAATCCACAAAGTGAAGAGACAACCCACAGAATGGAAGGAAATATTTGCAAACTACCCATCTGACAAAGGATTAATAACTAGAATATATAAGGAGCTCTACAACTCCACATGGAAAAAAACCAATAATCTAATCAATAATGGGCAAAAGAGGTACATAAACATTTCTCAAATGAAGAAAAACAATGACAAACAGGCATCTGTAAAAGTTCTCCACATCCTTGATCATCAGAGAAACTCAAATCAAAGCTATCATGAGATCTCATCTCACTCCAGTTAAAATGGCTGATATCCAAAAGACAGACAATGCTGCCAAGGTGGGAATGTAAGTAAGTACAACTACTTTGGAGAATGGTTTAGAGGTTCCTCAATAAACTAAAATTAGAGCTTCCCTATGATCCAGCTATCCCACTGCTGTTATATACCCAAAAGAAAGGAAATCAGTATATTAAAGACGTATCTGCACTCCCATGTTTGCTGCAGCATGGTTCACAATAGCTATGATTTGGAAGCAACCTAAGCATTCATCAACAGACAAATAGATAAAGAAAATGTGCTATATATACACAATGGAGTACTATTCAGCCATAAAATGAATGAGATCCTATCATTTGCAACAGTATGGATGAAATTAAAGGTCATTATATTAAGTGACATATGCCAGGCACAGAAAAACAAACATTGCATGTTCTCACTTATTTGTGGGATCTAAAAATGAAAACAATTGTACTCATGGACAAAGAGAATAGGATGTTTACCAGAGGCTGGGAAGGGTAGTGGGAACCTGGGGGAGAGGTGAGCATGGTTAATGGGTATAAAAAATAATAGAAAGAATGAATAAGACCTACTATTTGATAGTGCAATAGAGTGACTCTAGTCAATAATAACTTAATCACACGTTTTAAGATATCTAAAGGAATGTAATTGGATTGTTTATAACACAGAGGATAACTGCTTGAGGGGATAGATACCCCATTCTTCATGATGTGATTATTTCACATTGCATGCCTGTATCAAAACATCTCATGTACCCCATAAATATATAAACCTACTGTGTACCCACAAAAATAAAAAATATATATTTATTAAAGTTAGTCAATTATTGTGCTACAACAATAGTGCTCCTCATAACACACATGTGATTAATTGTATTGGCATCAAAAAAATAGATTAACCATGTTCACAGAATAAGACTGTAATTACTCTGTTAGTTAACTTTTGCTGTATACCAACTACAAAATATCAGATGCTTACAACTACAGCATTTGTTATAATTCTCACTGGTCAGTAGGTTGTCAGAGACCCTCTTCATCTAGGCTGCTTTGACTTGCTGGCTTTGCTTCAGTTCTCTGGGAACCAGGGACTGGCTCCAGGCTCTGAATTTGGCTCAGGTTTGCACCATGTACCTCCTTCTGGAAACCAGATTCAAGGGGAATTACCTACTAGGTTAGCACTACCCCAGTACAAGAAATCAAACCCTGCAGCAAAATCACACTGAAGCTCTTGCTTTTATCACATCCACTAACATCCTATTGACCAAAACAAGTCATGAGGACCACAATGGCCAGAGAAAATTATGTGTCTAAAGTGAGAGTGAATGTAAATACAATCCGTCCACTTTGTCCCTCCTGATGTGGATGTGAATGTATACTGCTGCTACTAGGAAGTAAAGAATTGAGACCGATAATTCCAAATGCCACTTGTAAGATTCCATTTACATAAAACATTATAAGTGTTCACTAAACAGATAATTATAGTTAAGTTTGGGGGATGTAATTTAAGATTATTCTTATTTGTTCTATTTTTTCTGAAATATGCAAAAATTTAAAAAATTAAATTAAATTTTATTTTAAACTGACAATAATTATGCATAGTCATAGTGATGTTTTGGTGCATACCATGTATAGTGATCAGATCAGGGTGATTAGCATATTTATAATCTCAAACATTTCTCATTTCTTTGTGTTGAGGACATTCAATATACATATGTATTCAAAAATATACTAACATTTTGAAAACTAAATGAAGAATTAAAAAAATTATATTCCCTCTTTTTTTCCTGGCCTGATCAGAGTTAAATAACCTATCTCTTGGTGTGAAGAATCTAAATGAGAGACTTACTTGCATTTTCCTCATGTATCTAATTCCTAAGGATTGGTCAGAATTCTTACTTCTTAAGGAGGTACAATACAAATGGAAGATCTTCTATCTAGTTGAGAAGAATGCTTCTGTCTTATTTTTCCTTTGCTATGTAGATGATTAACTCTTCTAGCTTTATCCAGTATTAAGGTATAGATATAGTGACAGGACTAACAACAATAAGATAACAACAGGCACACACTTGGATAGTTGTGACAAGATCTGGACTCTGGCCCTTCCTATGTCATTGATATGTAATGTACCAGTGGGTGGATCATGTTCATTCTTTGGGGCTTGTAAGTTTGCATCAATATACACAGGCATACTTCCAGGGACAGGAAGCTACATGCACATATATGCACTTATGTGTACGTGAATGATCATTTCATGCTTGGTGAGCTGAGTTCTCACAGAAACTTTAGTATCAGGAGCCCTGTACCACCAAACACGGAGGGACATCCTACTCACTGAGCACCACCCACCTTCCTGGGCTGCAACCTGTTGAGTATTCTCTTTCTAATCTCCTTCATCTTGACACTATAGAGAATAGGGTTTATCAATGGAGGAAGAAGGAAATGGACATAGGATAGAAGAGTATGGGTATGCTGAGTGATTGGCAGCTCAGGATGGTTAATCAGTGCCAGGAGGATCATAGGGATATAGAAGAGGAGCACTGCAGAGAGGTGGGCAGCACAGGTTTGACCAGCCTTCCAGCGATCCTCTCTGGACTCCACACCTTGCAACACCTTGCCAATCAGGCCATAGGAGAAGAAAATAAGCAGGGGGTCCAAACCCATGGCTGAAAGAACCACAAATAGGCTGTAGGCTGCACCCCAAGCTTCTGGGCAGGCCAAACGAGCCACATCTGGATGCAAGCAATAAGAATGGGTTAGGACCTGTGGGAGGCAGTAGGGCATGTAGGCCAGCAGGAATGGCAGGGGCAGATGGAGACCCAGGCATCGAAAAGAAATGGCCAGGCTGATTTTGCTAATTACACCATTGGTGAGGAGCGCTGGGTAGTGGAGAGGTCGGCAGATGGCCAGTGCCCGATCAATGGACATGGCGAGCAAGACAGAGGACTCCATGACAGAAAAGACATGGATAAAAACCATCTGTAGAAGGCAGGCTGAGGCAGGGACAGTGTGAGCACCAGCAAGGGCGATGCCCAGCAGTGTGGGCATCAGGGCAGTGACCAATCCAATATCAGACACACTAAGCAAGAAGAGGAAGAAGTGCATTGGGCGGTGCAGGGCGGGCTGCAGGGCAATGATCCAGAGGATGGTGCCATTTCCCAGTGCAGAGAGAAGGTAGACAGCAATGAGGGGCAATGTCCACCAGGAGGGTGCACCTGATAGGCCTGGCATGCCCACCAGCAAGAAGGTGGGGGCCATTGAAGTGCTGCTATTGGGGGCTATCTGAGTTGGTAATGTTGACATAGTTCAGGATTCCACGTTGAACTCTGGAACCTGAAAAATGATTAGAAAGGTTTACTTAATCGCGTGCCAAATTTGCATGAAACGTTCCAAAATAGCCTGCATCTTCCCTTCCCTGACTCATGCACTCACATACACGTACACATATACACATTTCCTCCCTGTGCACGCACCCATCCTAATAGTATATGCAGCATTCATTCCTTGCCTTTGAGGTTTTTCTATAGCTGTCCTCATAGCTCTGTGGTTCTGTTTCTTTTCCTAGATTGTTTTCACATGTTTTTTTAGCTTGCCTCTCCCTGTAGTGTTATCCTATTTTTTCCCTCCCTTTATGACAAACACTTTAGGAAACAGTCCATTTATCCATATTTTTTTCTCTTCCCAACCCCAGACAGTCTGACTTCTAGACTGCCTTAAGATACTTACATTTTGGTGCACTTTAACTGTTCTTATTAAGTCCCCAATTACTCCTTTATTTCTAAATTAAGGGGCACTCATTTTTTCTAAGCTTGATTTATTTCTTAATGAGCTTTGGCTACTATGGATCTATTTTTTACTTTTTTAAAAATTCTCCCTTTCAGAATTTAGCCTTTTACTTAACTTTGCTGTGTCCCTATGATTTATACATGGGTATTTAAAATTTTTATTTTATTGAAATGTAATAATTGCACATATTTAAAGGGGTGCATGTGGTATTTTGTTACATGCATAGAATGTGAAATGATAAAGTCAGGGTATTTAGGACATCCATCGCCTTGAGTAATTATAATTTTTATATGTTGGAACATTTCAAGTTCTGTCTACTAGCTATTTTGAAATATACAATACATTGTTGTTAACTATAGTCACCCTACTTGGCTACTGAACATTATAACTTATTTCTTCTATCTAAGTGTATGTTTATATTTTTGAGATATTTTTCCTTGGCCCTCTTTATTTTCCTAAGTGGTCTTATCTACTCTCATGACATCAACTCGAGTCTACAAACAGATGAATTACTAATATATATTCCCAGATCCTTCTAGGTTCATCTTACCTTGGATGTTCCAGGCAATTTAAATTCAAATAATCCAAAGCAGATCTTAACAGACACATCTTAATGCCTCTTTCAGAGTCATCAGTTAGGAAACAGTGAAGAGGAATTTATGTCAATAGCAAAACCAATAAGACACTCGTTTGTTCCCTAAGTCAGTTGTTGGTGCCACCATTAATCAATTTCCCAAAATAAAAACCTGAGAATTAGCTTCTCCTCACATGTAATATCCAAATATTATTTATAATTTTAACAAGAAGGACTGGACACACACCATAGTCATATTTTCTTCCCTGCCCAAATGCCCAGAAAGATTGGAACTGAAATTCTGGACAAAAAGACCACGAAAATTGGGATCTAAAGAAAAGTAAAATAAAAAAACTTGCTAGGTTTTGTTTTCAGGATAATGATATAGATACAAGTTAACCCTAAACATTTATTACAAAAATTCCAAATACATATGTTATAAAATATTATGTTAAAATTTTAAATAAAATATAACTTTCAAGCTAAAAAAGGAAGATAAATGCAACAAAAACCTTAATCCCACAGACTTTTAAAAAGCAATAAATAGAAACAGACATTCATTTCCAGTGTGATGGAGTGAGGAGGCTAACCCTAAACATTTATTACAAAAATTCCAAATACATATGTTATAAAATATTATGTTAAATTTTTTAATAAAATATAACTTTCAAGCTAAAAAAGGAAGATAAATGCAACAAAACCCTTAATCCCACAGACTTTTAAAAAGCAATAAATAGAAACAGACATTCATTTCCAGTGTGATGGAGTGAGGAGGCTAACACATCCTCTCCCCTACAAAGCATGTATAAAGCTGGCAAGCTGTCAATAAGATCCATTTTGACACCCTGGAAATCCATTAGAGATATAAGCTTGTTTATTGAAACGACTGAACTTTGGAAAATAACAGCCAGTTGCCTAGCATTTTGGCAAGGCTGCTTCATTCCACTGCCTCCAGCTCTATCAACAGTGGTCAGATAAGGAAACCCCACAGCTTTGTTCCTGTACTCGTGAGGCAGCTTCCGTGATTTGGAGCTCTGTCAGTTAGCACGGCAATTTTGGTGGCAAGGAAATAGGGAGGGCCAGCAACTCCACTACCCTGAGGTTCTGGTCCTCTTTGGGGTAATGTGTCCACCAGCAGACTAGGTGAGGATTTAACACAGAGTTCTGGCTGAAAAATAAAACCAGATGGTAACTGGAATCTATAGGAAGAAATGAAGAGTACTGGACATACTCAATATATGGGTAAATGTGAAGGACTCTATACACGTTTTAGTTAATTTTCCCTAAATTTCCTTAACAGGCTTGAATTGGATGAAAAAATAATTATAATACTCTATTGTCGAGTAAATTATATATATTATATATGTGTGTGTCTGTATATGTATGTATATATATTATAATAATAGCACAACAAGGGGGAGGAATTAAACATTTATTAAAACAAAACTTTTGAATTTTACTGGAATTAAGTTAATATTATTCTGAAGTAAATTATATAGTAATGTGCATATTGTAATTTATAGAACAATCACTAATAAAATGGTAAAAAAATAAAAAGATGAATTGAAATCATTCACCAAAAACATTTAAACAAATGTAATGCAATGAAAAAGCAGTGGAACAAAAAAAGACACAAGACTAACAGAAAACAAATAGCAAAATGACAGGTGAAATTTCAACCATATCAATAATCACAAAGTGAATGGACTAAGCATGCATCATAAAAGGCACATTGTTATGTAGAATAGAAAAGCAAGTTATAACTATATTCTGTATACAAAAGACATACCATAGATTCAAAGAAGTAAATAGTTGAAAGTAAGAAGGTCGAAAATTATATACCCCACAAAAATACGTGAGAGATGGAGTGGCTATACTAATATCATATAACAATCATAAATGCATATATAAAGAACACTAGATCCCTAAAATACATGAACCAAAACTGATAAAATTAAAGAGTGAGATAAGCAATTTACCAATAATAGTTGAAGATTTTAATATCCCAAACTCAATAATTGATAAAACAATTGAAAAAAATACACAAGGAAATAGAAATCTTTTGAAAAACACCATGAATCGGAAATGACATTTATATAATACTCTCCACAATAGCAGACTGCATATTCTTTTCAAGCACATATAGAATTTTCTGTGTGAAGAACTGTAGGCTGGGAGGCAAAATAAGCTTTAATAATTTTTAAAATATTCATATCATACAGAGCATATTCATTTCTCAAATCAATAACCTAAGCTTCCTTAAGTATTTACAAAACAAAGAACGATCAATAGCCAAACTAAACAAGTGTTGGTGAGAATGTGGAGAAAAGGGAATCCTTTACATTGTTGGTAGGAGTATAAATTTGTACACCCATTATGAAGAATAGTATAAAAGTTCTTCAAAAAATTGAAAATAAAACCACCATATTATTCAGCATTCCCACTTCTGGATATGTATTCAATGGAAAGAAAGCCATGATCTCAAAGAGATATCTTCACTCCCGTGTCCATTGAAGCATTATTCATAATAGCCAAGATATGGAAACAAGTGTTCATTGATGTACGAAGAGGTTAAAAAGTGTGATAGATATATAATATTCAGCCTTAAAAAAGAAAAACAACCTGTCATTTGCAACAGCATGGATAAATATGGAGGATATTATGCCAAGTGAAATAAGTCAGACACAGTAAGAAAAATGCTGCACGACCTCACTTTTGTGTGAACTCTAACAAAGTCAAACTCATAGAAACAGAACAGAAGGGTGATTATCAGGGTTTGAGGGGATGTGGGGGAAATAGGGAAATGTGAGTCAAAGGATAGAAACTTACAGTTATAAGATGTGTAAGTGTTAGAGGCTTAATGTACAGCATGATGATTATAGGTATTAATAATATATTGTATACTTGAAATTTGCCAAAGGGCACCTCTTAGGTATCCTCCAAACACACACACCCATACAAACATGCACACACACACATACAAGGGTAACTATGTGAGGTAATAAATATGTTAATTGGCTTGATTGTGGTCAACATTTCACAAGGTATACATATATCAAAACATCATATTGTACACCTTGAATATAGACAATTTTAAAATGTCAATTATACTTTAATAAAGCTGAAAATAATGGAATAAAATTAAAAAAACAAAATAAGTACAGGTGACATAATTAAAGATTAAAAAATTGAAAACCCTTAGCAAGCCTTAAAGAGAAAACAAAAGATGCAAATTACCAAAATCAGGAATGCAATGTGGGATAACACTATTAGACAATTAGTTGAAATTTTTAAAATCCTAGAAAAATAAAAATTATAAAACTGACTCAAGAAGAAATAGCAATTCTAAACAGACCTATAACAAATAAAGTCAATTACTAATTAAAACTCTTCCTACTAAAAAATGCCAAGGTCCAGATGATTTCATGGGTGAATTAGATCACATATTAAAAGAAGAAATAATAACTAATGCTTCTCATAATGCTTTAAAAATAGAGAAGGATTTTATAAAATCCTACTCAATCCAGAAGTAGAGTGTAATCTTGATTCTAAAGCCAAATCATAACAAAAAACATAGCACTGACAAATTTTCCTGAAGTAAATAGACATATAAATTCTTAATATTAGCAAATTAAATTTGGCTACATAAAAAAAAAATTCTGCACTGTGATTTTGTGGAATTTATGCGTAAGTGCAGAGTTGGTTTTGTATTTCAACATCAACTAATACACATTAGAAAAAAGGACAAAAATTGCATGGTCATCTCAATAGGCACAGAAAATCATGTGTCAAATCATGTACTCACTCATGATAAAAACTCTAAATAAGGAGGGTTCCAAGATGGCTGAATAGGAACAGCTCCAGTCTATAGCTCCCAGCATGAGTGACACAGAAGACGGGTGATTTCTACATTTCCAACTGAGGCACCAGGTTCATCTCACTGGGGCTTGTTGGACAGTGGGTGCAGGCCACAGAGTGTGAGCTGAAACAGGGCGGGGCATCGCCTCACCTGGGAAGTGCAAGGGGTCAGGGAATTCCCTTTCCTAGCCAAGGGAAGCTGTGACAGATGGTACCAGGAAAATCGGGACACTCCTACCCTAATACTGCGCTTTTCCAACAGTCTTAGCAAATGGCACAACAGGACATTGTATCCCACGCCTGGCTCGGAGGGTCCCACGCCCACGGAACCTTGCTCATTGCTAGCACAGTGGTCCAAGACCAGACTGCAAGGCAGCAGCAAGGCCAGGGGAGGGGCGTCTGACATTGCTGAGGCTTGAGTAGGTAAACAAAGCAGCCTGGAAGTTCAAACTGGGTGGAACCCACCTCAGCTCAAGGAGGCCTGCCTGCCTCTGTAGATTCCACCTCTGGGGGCAGGTCATAGCTGAACAAAAGGCAGCAGAAACTTCTGCAGACTTAAATGTCCCTGTTTGACAGCTTTGAAGAGAGTAGTGGTTATCCCAGCAAGGAGTTTGAGATCTGAGAATGGACAGACTGTCTCCTCAAGTGGGTCCCTGACCCTCGAGTAGCCTAACTGGGAGACATCCCCCAGTAGGGGCCAACTGACACCTCTTACAGCTGGTTGCCCCTCTGAGACGAAGCTTCCAGAGGAAGGATCAAGCAGCAACATTTGCTGTTCTGCAATATTTGCTGTTCTGCAGCCTCCGCTGGTGATACCCAAGCAAACAGGGTCTGGAGCGGACCTCCAGCAAACTCCAACAGAGCTACAGCTAAGGGTCCTGACTGTTAGAAGGAAAACTAACAAACATAAAGGACATCCACACCAAAACCCCATCTCTAGGTCACCATCATGAAAGACCAAAGGTAGATAAAACCACAAAGATGGGGAGAAAACAGAGCAGAAAAGCTGAAAATTCCAAAAATCAGAGCGCCTCTTCTACCCCAAAGGAACACAGCTCCTCACCAGCAGTACAACAAAGCTGGACAGAGAAGGACTTTGACGAGTTGACAGAAGTAGGCCTCAGAAGATCAGTAATAACAAACTTCTCTGAGCTAAAGGAGGATGTTTGAACCCATTGCAAAGAAGCTGAAAACCTTGAAAAAAGATTAGATGAATGGCTAACTAGGATAAACAGCATAGAGAAGACCTTAAATGACCTGAAATGAGCTGGAAACCATGGCACGAGAACTACGTGATGCATGCACAAGCTTCAGTAGACGATTCGATCAAGTGGAAGAAAGGGTATCAGTGATTGAAGATCAAATCAATGAAGTGAAGCAAGAAGAGAAGTTTAGAGAAAAAAGAGTAAAAAGAAAAGAACAAAGCCTCCAAGAAATATGAGACTATGTGAAAAGACCAAATCTACGTCTGATTGGTGTACCTGAAAGTGACAGGGAGAATGGAATGAAGTTAGAAAACACTCTTCAGGATATTATCCAGGAGAACTTCCCCAACCTAGCAAGGCAGACCAACATTCAAATTCAGGAAATATAGAGAACGCCACAATGATACTCCTCGAGAAGAGCAACTCCAAGACACATAACTGTCAGATTCACCAAAGTTGAAATGACGGGAAAAATGTTAAGGGCAGCCAGAGAGAAAGGTCGCGTTACCCACAAAGGGAAGCCCACCACATTAACAGTGGATCTCTTGGCAGAAACTCTACAAGCCAGAAGAGAGTGGGGGCCAATATTCAACATTCTTAAAGAAAAGAATTTTCAACCCAGAATTTCATATCCAGCCAAACTAAGCTTCATAAGTGAAGGAGAAATAAAATCCTTTACAGACAAGCAAATGCTGAGAGATTTTGTCACCACCAGGCCTGCCTTACAAGAGCTCACGAAGGAAGCACTAAACATGGAAAGGACAACCAGTAGCAGCCACTGAAAAAACATGCCAAATTGTAAAGACCATCGATGCTAGGAAGAAACTGCATCAACTAATGAGCAAAATAACCAGCTAACATCATAATGACAGGATCAAATTCACACATAACAATATTAACCTTAAATGTAGATGGGCTAAATGTTCCAATTAAAAGACACAGACTGGCAAATTGGATAAACAGTCAAGACCCATCAGTGTGCTGTATTCAGGAGACCCATCTCACTTGCAGAGACACACATAGGCTGAAAATAAAGGGATGGAGGAAGATCTACCAAGCAAATGGAAAACCAAAAAAAGCAGGGATTGCAATCCTAGTCTCTGATAAAACAGACTTTTAACCAACAAAGATCAAAAGAGACAAAGAAGGCCATTACATAATGGTAAAGGGATCAATTCAACAAGAAGAGCTAACTGTCCTAAATATATATGCGCCCAATACAGGAGCACCCAGATTCATAAAGCAAGTCCTGAGTGACCTACAAAGAGACTTAGACTCCCACACAATAATAATGGGAGGGTTTAACACCCCACTGTCAACATTAGACAGATCAATGAGACAGAAGGTTAACAAGGATATCCAGGACTTGAACTCAGCTCTGCACCAAGCAGACCTAATAGACATCTACAGAACTCTCCACCCCAAATCAACAGAATACACATTCTTCTCAGCACCACGTCGCACTTATTCCAAAATTGACCACATACTTGGAAGTAAAGCACTCCTCAGCAAATGTAAAAGAACAGAAACTATAACAAACTGTCCCTCAGACCACAGTTCAATCAAATTAGAACTCAGGATTAAGAAACTCACTCAAAACCGCACAACTACATGGAAACTGAACAGCCTGCTCCTGAATGACTACTGGGTACATAACAAAATGAAGGCAGAAATAAAGATGTTCTTTGAAACCAGTGAGAACAAAGACACAACATACCAGAATCTCTGGGACACATTTAAAGCAGTGTGTAGAGGGAAATTTATAGCACTAAATGCCCACAAGAGAAAGCAGGAAAGATCTAAAATCGACACCCTAACATCACAATTAAAAGAACTAGAGAAGGAAGAGCAAACACATTCAAAAGCTAGCAGAAGACAAGAAATAACTAAGATCAGAGCAGAATTGAAGGAGATAGAGACACAAAAAAACCCTTAAAAAAAAATCAGTGAAACCAGGAGCTGGTTTGTTAAAAAGATTAACAAAATTGATAGACTGCTAGCAAGACTAATAAAGAAGAAAAGAGAGAAGAATCAAATAGACACAATAAAAATGATAAAGGGGATATCACCACCAATCTCACAGAGATACAAACTACCATCAGAGAATACTATAAACACCTCTGTGCAAATAAACTAGAAAATCTAGAAGAAATGGATAAATTCCTGGACACATACTCTCTCCCAAGACTAAACCAGGAAGAAGTTGAATCCCTGAATAGACCAATAACAGGCTCTGAAATTGAGGCAATAATTAATAGCCTACCAACCAAAAAAAGTCCAGGACCAGAGGGATTCACAGCCGAATTCTACCAGAGGTACAAGGAGGAGCTGGTACCATTCCTTCTGAAACTATTCCAATCAATAGAAAAAGAGGGAATCCTCCCTAAATCATTTTATGAGGCCAGCATCATCCTGATACCAAGGCCAGGCAGAGACACAACAAAAAAACAGAATTTCAGACCAATATCCCTGATGAACATCAATGCAAAAATACTCAATAAAATACTGGCAAACCGAATCCAGCAGCACATCAAAAAGCTTATCCGCCACGATCATGTTGGCTTCATCCCTGGGATGCAAGGCTGGTTCGACATATGCAAATCAATAAACGTAATCCATCATATAAACAGAACCAAAGACAAAAACCACATGATTATCTCAATAGATGCAGAAAAGGCTTTCGACAAAATTCAACAGCCCTTCATGCTCAAAACTCTCAATAAACTAGGTGTCGATGGGACGTATCTCAAAATAATAAGAGCTATTTATGACAGACCCAGAGTCAATATCATACTGAATGGGCAAAAACTGGAAGCATTCCCTTTGAAAACTGGCACAAGACAGGGATGCCCTCTCACACCACTCCTATTCAACATAGTATTGGAAGTTCTGGCCAGGGCAATCAAGCAGGAGAAAGAAATAAAAGGTATTCAATTAGGAAAAGAGGAAATCAAATTGTCCCTGTTTGCAGATGACATGATTGCATATTTAGAAAACCCCATCGTCTCAGCCCAAAATCTCCTTAAGCTGATAAGCAGCTTCAGCAAAGTCTCAGGATACAAAATCAATGTGCAAAAATCACAAGCATTCCTATACACCAATAATAGACAGAGAGCCAAATCATGAGTGAATTCCCATTCACAACTGCTTCAAAGAGAATAAAATACCTAGGAATCCAACTTACAAGGGATGTGAAGGACCTCTTCAAGGAGAACTACAAACCACTGCTCAACAAAATAAAAGAGGACACAAACAAATGGAAGAACATTCCATGCTCATGGATGGGAAGAATTAATATCATAAAAATGGCCATACTGCCCAAAGTAATTTATAGATTCAATGCCATCCCCATCAAGCTACCAATGGCTTTCTTCACAAAATTGGAAAAAACTACTTTAAAGTTCATATGGAACCAAAAAAGAGCCCGCATTGCCAAGATAATCCTAAGCCAAAAAACAAAGCTGGAGGCATCATGCTACCTGACTTCAAGCTATACTACAAGGCTACAGTAACCAAAACAGCATGGTACTGGTACCAAAACAGAGATCTAGACCAACGGAACAGAACAGAGCCCTCAGAATTAATACCACACATCTATAACCATCTGATCTTTGACAAACCTGACAAAAACAAGAAATGGGGAAAAGATTCCCTATTTAATAAATGGAGCTGGGAAAACTGGCTAGCCATATGTAGAAAGCTGAAACTGGATCCCCTCCTTACACCTTATGCAAAAATTAATTCAAGATGGATTAAAGACTTAAATATTAGAACTAAAACCATAAAAACCCTAGAATAAAACCTAGGCAATTCCATTCAGGACATAGGCGTGGGCAAAGACTTCATAACTAAAACACCAAAAGCAATGGCAACAAAAGCCAAAATGGACAAATGGGATCTAATTAAACTAAAGAGCTTCTGCACAGCAAAATGATAACCAAGGGTGAAATATAACTAAATATTTTATGAATAAACATACATTAGTGTTATCTGGATAAATGTGATAATTTGTTCTCACTGATGCTCATCTCCCGTGTCATAGAAAAGTGTGAAGCTACTTAATAAATTAGATTTTGTGATACCATATTTCAAAATACACACATTCCAAAATATAGTATATACAGAACAATAATGACCTGTTATGTATCTTCACCCACAAGCCTTACCCACTCCTGCATTTCCCCAGATGTGCAAAATTTGATGCACCATAACTGTGGAAAATTAAATAATTAATTCTTCCAGTGGATACTTACTCTGCTTCTTACACATGATTCCATTCTACTAGACCCTATTTTTTTTGCCTCTGGAACACTTGAAAGATCATTCTTCAAATTTGCTTGGTCTTCACACTGTAGACAATGGGGTTTAGCACAGGCGGGAGCAGTAGGTATATATCAGCCATGACCATGTGCACTACTGGTGATAAATGCTCCCAAAATCTGTGGATCATGGAGGCAGCACCCATAAAAGGAACATAGAAGAGGAGCACGGTAGACATGTGAGAGAGGCATGTGCTGAGGGTTTTCAGCCTTTCACCTCTGGAGACAATGCCCAGCACAGTCTTCAGGGTGAGTACATAAGACAGTAGAGTGAGGAGAACATCGAGCCCCAGTGTGAAGATGACGACGATGAGGCCGTAGAGGCTGTTGATGCGGGTGCTGGCACAAGCTAGCCGCATCATGTTTTGGTGAAGACAGTATGAATGAGACAAGACATTGGAATGGCAGAAGGGTAGGCACTTTATAAGGAAGGGCACAGGGAATACCACACAGACTGCCCGGGTGAGGACAGCTATTCCAGTCTTTCGAATAACATCGTGAGTGAGGATGGAAACATAGTGTAATGGGTTTCGGATGGCCACAAATCTGTCAAAGGCCATGGACACTAGGACTCCTGATTCTACTATTCCAAATACATGGATGAAGAACATCTGCATGATGCATGCATCAAAAACAATCTGAGGGGCATTAAACCAGTAGATGCTGAGCATGGAGGGCAAGGTGGACATGGAGAGACTAACGTCAGTGAGAGCCAAGATAGAAAGGAAGTAATACGTGGGCTCATGGAGACTTGGCTCCACCTTGATGACAGCTAGGATGGTACCATTTCCCAGGAGTGTGAGTGTGTAGAGAAATCCCAGGGGAAAGGCCAACCATGGGTTCTTGTCTGGCGTTCCTGGGATACCTGTCAGAATGAAGTTACGGTGGTTGGCCTGTGATGCATTCAAGTTCGTCATGTTGTTCTCACCATCGGGTGGGGCTGGACTCCTCCACTTGGCTCACAGCTCCTAAATTGAATATATATTCTCATATGGACAGAACAATGGCTTTATGAATGCATAGTAGAATAGCAGAGGAAAGAATAAAGTTAAAAAACATTTAGATGATATTTGTAACACTGTGTCTTTTTCCTTCCTACACAGTCACATGTGATTACCTCCCTTCTCTTGGAATAAATTTCTTTATTTGAAAAATGGGAACAAGAGTAAACATCCAGTGTTTAGACAGTAAAAAATTTTGATATCTCCTTTGATATCTCCTCATATAGTTTTCAAGTTTTAGCAGAAAAGAAGTAGACATAACCAAGATCTTAATAACATAGAGCATATTGCTAAATAATTTTTTAAAACCCCATTAAAACCTCACAATACCATCACCAGACACCCACAACTACATACAATCCCACTGTCATCACAACCTACATCCACATAAATCCATGTGTATAAGGGTATTATATATATATATATATCATATATACTTCCATATATATCATATATACTTCCATATGTATATACATATACATATAGATACACACAGTTTCCAAGTATATACATATAGAAGTATATATGTATTTAGAAGTATATACATATAGATACATACAGTTTCCAAGTATATACATATAGAAGTATATATCTATACAGAAGTTTATACATATAGATACATATACATGCAGATACATACAGTTTCCAAGTATATACATATATGCTTCTATAAATAGAAGTATATACAATATATATTACATATATGTGTATATACGATAGGATAGGTACTCTATATATATACATACGCATAAATGTATTAGGTTGGTGCAAAAGTAATTGCAGTTTTTGCCTTTTTAAAATCTAATATGTTCATATGTGTGTGTGTATATATATGTATATATGTATATATATATAGAGAGAGGGAATGTATCCTGGATATCTGTTGTAAGGATAATTTTAATGAATTACATATGCAAATGACACATTATTGGATGAAATTATTCAAATTAATATTTAATCTTCAGAAATTTCAACAGTTTATAATTTTCCATAGTCTTATTTTAAGGTAGGTAGAAGAAGATAAAAGTTATTGGCTCATAAACAACCACACATAAAGTATAATATAATACTTAGCCCAGTTCCTTCAGGCTCCCTAACTGATCTTTCTGTACCCATGAGTGCCGCCTTCTAATACATTCTTCATTTGGCAGTTAGAATAGACTTTTTTAAAACAAATATAAATCTCATTTATTCATCTCAAGCAAAACTCCTTTAAGGGTTCCCAATGTACTTAGAAGAAAGCTCTAAATCCTTATCTTAGCCTTCAACGTAAAGCAAGATTCAACCCCTACCTACCTCTGCAGCACCAACTCACACCATTTACTCTCCCCTTCAGTCTCTTTAATCCAGCCAAATTTGCCGTCTTTAAGTTCCTGGGTCCCAGTGAGATACTTCCTGATGTAGAATTTCTACATGCATTATATCCAGATATTTATGTTTTTCTTCACCCCTAGTGAAGCTCTCCTTTACCTAAGCAAAGCCTAGCTATCCTTCCCAATTATGCCGATTCCAAATATCCATAGTAGCTTAAGGTTTCCACATATGCTGTTTTCACATTTGTGGGCTCTTCTTTCTTTCCAGTGAGTATAGCTAAACATTGCGTACGTATTTGTTTAATGTCCATCTCTCCTACTAGAAGTTAAAACTTCCTGATGTAAAGGACTATTTTATGGTTCATCACCTCATTGAGCATATGTAAGGCATTTATTAATTTTTCCCTATTAGTGCAATGAAGACATAAAACAATGAATGGGTGAATATGGATGATTGAATGTCAATCTTTCAGGAGAAGTCTTAGAATCCCTCAAACTCTGTTCTGATCTTCTGCAGATGAATTAAAAATCTTCAACAAAGAGAAAAATTTATTTTTCTAAGAGGCCAGAGACAAAAGCTTAAATTGGGAGTCTGTGAGAGGTCCTATGGTGTCTTTGTTCTCACCTAGGTACTTGTGAGAAAAGAGAAAAACATCTCAAGAACTGGTCTGGGAGCTCTGAGGTTGGGGTGAGATCAGGCATGCAAGAACAAGTAGTTTCCCTACCTTTTCTGCCTCCTGTTTCTCTGCTATAGTATAAGGATTTTCTGTTAGAAAAATATGACTGCTAATAAGTTATTTTACAGATTTGAGTATCTTAGACACAGAAGAATTTTTGAAAGGTAGTGTAGTCCACTCACACTTGTTGTGTTGTATCTTTCTAACAAAATTTGGGCCCCTCCCTCCCAGAAATGACAATGGTCAGATCTAAACAAAGCACTTTGTGATGCCTGCCTAACCTTCTGCCTGCACTCTGAGGAGGGGTTTTGTTTTTCTTTAAATGTCAAGTGAGAGCCTTCACTTGTTTGGGCCTGCTGTTCTGTATCCCCAGCAATTCTTGTGGCTTTCAGGTGGAAATGACCAGCTGGTTCATCCCTACTGGGGGTTTTTCTTGGGACCTACTTGAAAAATCTTTAACATTCCTTAAGTTCTGAGAACCTGCTGAAGCCCTGTTCTTCCATGCAAATAGTTGATTCTTGTTTACCCCTGCTGTTTTACTGTTTTTGACTCTGATTTTCATTACCTGAATCAGTGTTCTACTGTCATCTTCTTTTTAATTTTTCATTCTTATCTCCATTCTTCATCTTCCTTCTTTTAATCTTCTTTAATTTTCAGACCCTTCCTTTCTCTATCTCCCAATGAAATTCTTATGCATTCTTCCATTCCATCTTTATTTTATGCCTAGCCTTGCACTACCTCCTCCCCATAGTATATGTCTTCTTCTTTTACTCCTAATAACAAAACCTGCATTTTACTTTCTCTTTCCATCTTTGCTTTCTACCACCACATGACACTCTATACACTATTCTCATCTGTCCTTATAACATTTCTCTGTAGAATTTCATCAGGATTTAATAAAAAATGCCCTAAGTTATCTTACACATAGCTTGCTATACAGAGGACATGGAAAAAATCTTTTAAGATATTTATTACCTTCATCAACCTGGTGCTATGGTTCAGAATTAATTTGGCTTCTTTCCTTTCCTGAGACTAGCATGTAGAGCCTTTATAAAGACTGCTCAAACCACTGGTGTTGTCTGGTGTCATCATGATTCTCCAAGGATTTCACAACACCTCTGAAAGAACTCCCATGAACGGTGTTATGTAGTGCCACTTGAGCTATCCCTTCCTAATTTCCCTAAGGATTCTAAAAATTTCCTTTATCTGTCAGACTGTCTTCTATTATGTCCAACACTTATGCAAAACTTTTCTTCATTTTAATTTTATTTGCATAGTCTTAGGTGTGAACTCACATACGTGCACACAAATGCATGTGTATGCACGCACACACACTAATTTGAATCATGTTTAATCACTAAGTAAGACTTACAATTCCAGCCCAATTTCAGTTCAGTTCAGTGACTCCAAAGCCAGTCTCAGTCTCAGTGATGACAGTGTTGCAATTTGACATGAAACAGAGCTGGAGTCTACTGTTGTTTGGAACGGATAGAATGATTGTCTGGACTCCGCCCATCAGGAACATATAAAAAAAAGATCTTTGAATTAGCTGAACTTCTTTGGTTTTCTGAATTGTTATTCCAATACCTCATGTATAATTTCTTGCATTTGATTTAATGTATTTCTCTGTAAGGATGTTTTGCATTAATGAGGTAATTCTTAAAAATACAGGAACAGCTGGTTACTCGAGCCTGTGCCTTTGTGTGGTCAGGCCTTAAACTGTTCACAGACCCTTTCTATCACATATTTATGCCCTTTTGATCTCATTTATTTTCCATCACAAGCATATTCACATAATCACAGCAGAAAACAAAAGTCAGATATAAACAATTATTGTGGTGATGCTTTAGTTTAGGCATGATTGACATCATATGGCCGAAGGTTATTCATTTATTTTTAATTTCTAAACCCATTTCTTTCCCACTGTGTATTACAACCTAAAAGAGACAATGCATGCTATAAACATTAAAAGCTAGGGCTTTATAATTTGTGCCAATATATTTTTAATAAGAAATTGTGAATACTTCTGTCTGAAATACTGTTGGGGATAGAACTAAAAACACACAAAATGCTTGATGCAACCCCCCTGAGTGTTAAACTGGTGACTTGAACTCCCCTGAAGATATCAGGCCTTGACTCCTCCATGTCTACAGAAACTGATGCCACCACTAGAATCAATTTCAGAAAGACTCCTATATTATCCCAGTAATTTCCTATTATCGGGAGCTTAATCCATCAAAAGTCTTCCTATCCATATCTAAAATGGTTAAATATGGTAAAAAGAATAGAGTTCGTGAGTCTTATATACCTTGTTTTAATTCACAGTTTTAATTTTTTCAGCTTTTTGGACTTAGGGAAAGTTATTTAACCACTCATTCATTCAGCATTCCTTGTTAGCTATTATTAATTGAGTTCTACTGGTGAGCTCCAGCTATTCCCCCTCCTTCCCATCAGCATTTATACAATCAAATAGGCCTAGTGGAAGTCACATAACCATTTTGACTATTCTCATTTTAAATTTCTTTATTAATAAAATTATAAATTAATTGCCAAAGGCCTCACATATTCTTTAATTGCTTCCAGATTATCACACTTAATTTTTTCCTCTGCTTGATTATTTCTACTAGCATCAGAGGTCTGGTTTTCTTTTACATTAGGAAAAAAGGTGTATTGCCAGTGTTTGTCTAATTTCTTTGCTTAATTTTAATGCAAAACACTCTAAAGCATGAAAAATAATTATTAGGAAGAGAAATTTCTTCTGAAGTAGAACGAATGAATCCTCTTTGCTCAAAAAGGGGGAAGATATGAACCAAAAAAACTATTTAAAAAATTAACACTGTGAAAACTAACTAAAGCAGGCAACATGTTGAGAAACATTCATTCTTGAAAACCTTTACAACTTCAGGGAAAAATACCACTCTCCCACCATTGCCAAATTCTTCTTCTTCCTCCTCCTCCTCCTCCTCCTTCTTCTTATTTTTGTTCTTCTTCGCAGAGGAGTAGCAGGAGTAGGAGTAGTAGTTGTAGTACCAGTAGTTTTATCAGGCTGGTATTTGTTGACAAACCAGCAGTTGTGCTGCCAGACAATGCAGACTCGACTTCAAGTGGAAAGAAAAAAGCAAAGCTTGGTCAACTAAGACTGGAAAACTCAGTAGGAAATAAAGAAGCGCCATCCACAGTTTTAGTAGCCTGAGTTTGCAAGCAGGAGTCATCAGGACATTTTACAGGGAGAACCTGGAAATTATTGTTACAGAAGGGTTCTCCATGCATCTATGGCTTTATGATAAATTATTCAAACATGTGAGAGAAACTCAAGAGAGCTTTCTGGCATGAGAAAACAAACAGAGACTTGACAACTGGTTGAATATTAAATGTATGCTACACACACCACTCAAATCAATCAGTGAAAATGTTTCTGACTCAAGGGATTTAACAGCTATTTCTGCCTCAATATTGGCATACCACCAAGATGTGTATACTCATGGGCGATTCCTAGGAAGCCAGGCTAAAAAAGTGGAATACAAATAAAATGATCTGAAAGTAATCAGTGGTTATACTTAGTGTAAGAATGTGAAATATAAGTGATCTGAAATGATCAGTGGCAACACTTAGTGCAAGAGATTTATTTTGAGAAGATAAATTTCAGTTTAAATTCATACAAGTTACTAAAAATAAACAAAAGAAAATTTAAAAACACAGCAAGTCTCTTAAAAGCAATTAAGAATCTAAGGTTTCTATTATATCCATGATACCTTGTTTATAACAAAAACCTATGAGACTTTTAAGGAAACAGGAAAACAAAAGAAAATGAGAAAACATTTAATGCTCATGGATAGGAAGAATCAATATCATGAAAATGGTCATACTGTCCAAAGCAATTTATAGATTCAATGCCATTCCTATTAAAGTAGTATTGGCATTCTTCACAGAATTATAAAAAACTATTTTAAAATTCATATGGAACCAAAAAAGAGCCTGAATAGCCAAGGCAATCTTAAGCAAAAAGAGCAAAATTGGAGGCATTACGCCACCTGACTTCAAACTATATTACAAGGCTACAGTAACCAAAACAGCATGGTACAGGTACAAGAACAGAAATATAGACCAATGGGAAAGAACAGAAAACCCAGAAAGAAGATTACACACCTACAACCATCTGATCTTTGACAAACCTGACAAAAATAAGCAATGGGGAAATGATTCCCTATTTAATAAATGGTGCTGGGGGAACTGGCAGGCCATAGGCAGAAAACTGAAACTGGACCCCTTCCTTACACCATACACAAAAATCAACTCAAGATGGACTAAACACTTAAATGTAAAGCCCCAAATTTAAAAATCCCAGAAGAAAACCTAGACAATACCATTCAGGTCATAGGCATGAGGAACGATTTCATGACAAAGATGCCAAAAACAATTGGAACAAAACCAAAAACTGACCAATGGGAAATAATTAAACTAAAGAGCTTCTGCACAGCAAAAGAAACTATCAACAGAGAAAATAGACAACATACAGAAAAGGAGAAAACTTTTACAATCTATCCATCTGACAAAGGTCTAATATCAAGTATCTAGAAGGAACTTAAACAAATTTACAAGAAAAAAACAAACAACCCCATTAAAAAGTGGGCAAAGGACATGAACAGACATGTCTCAAAAGAAGACGTACATGTGACCAACAAACATATGACAAAAAGCTCAACATCACTGATCATTAGGGAACTACAAAACCACAATGAGATGCTGTCCTTTTTTTTTTTTTTTTTTTTTTTGATGGAGTCTCTCTCTGTTGCCCAGGCTGGAGTGCAGTGATGCAATCTGGGCTCACTGCAACCTCCACCTCCCAGGTTCAAGCAATTCTCCTGCCTCAGCCTCCTGAGTAGCTGGGATTACAGGCATGCACCATCACGTCTGGCTAATTTTTGTATTTTTAGTAGAGATGGGGTTTCACCATGTTGGCTAAGCTGGTCTCAAATTCCTGACCTCATGATCTGCCCACCTTGATCTCCCAAAGTGCTGTGATTACAGATGTGAGCCACCATGTGCAGCTGAGATGCTGTCTTACACTAGTCAGAATGGCTATTACTAAAAAGTCAAAAAACAACAGATGCTGGCAAGGTTCTGAAGAAAAAGGAACACTTTTACACTCTTAGTAGGAGTATAAATTAGTTCAACCATTGTGGAAGAAGTTATGGCATTTCCTCAAAGACCTAGAGGCAGAAATACCATTTGACCGAGAAATCCCATTACTGGGTATATACCTAAAAGAATAAAAATTGTTCTATTGTAAAGGCACATGCATGTGTGTGTTAATTGCAGCACTAGTCACAATAGCAAAGACATGAAGTCAACCTAAATACCTATTACTGATAGACTGGATAAAGAAAATGTGGTATAGATATACCATGTAATACTATGGAGCCATAAAAAGGAATGAAATCATGTCCTTTCCAAGGACATGGATGGAGCTGGAGGACATTATCCTCAGCAAACTATCCCAGAAACAAAAGAAAACAAATACCACTTGTTCTTACCTATAAGTGGGAGCTGAATGATGAGAACACATGGACACATGGGGGGAACAACACACACTCAGGTGTGCTGGAGGGTATTCAGTTAGGAAAAGTGGAACTCAAATTGTCCCTGTTTGCAGATGACATGATTGTACCTTTAGAAAACCCCATCGTCTCAGCTCAAAATCTCCTTAAGCTGAGAAGCGACTTCAGCAAAGTCTCAGGATACAAAATCAATGTGCAAAAATCACAAGCATTCCTATACACCAATAACAGACAAACAGAGAGCCAAATCATGAGTTAACTCACATTCACAACTGCTTCAAAGAGAATAAAATACCTAGGAATCCAACTTACAAGGGATGTGAAAGACCTCTTCAAGAGAACTACAAACCACTGCTCAAGGAAATAAAAGAGGATACAAACAAATGGAAGAACATTCCATGCTCTTTGATAGGAAGAATCGATATCACGAAAATGGCCACACTGCCCAACGTAATTTACAGATTCAATGCCATCTCCATAAAGCTACCAATGACTTTCTTCACAGAATTGGAAAAAACTACTTTAAAGTTCATATGGAACCAAAAAAGAGCCCACATTGCCAAGATAATACTAAGCCAAAAGAACAAAGCTGGAGGCATCACGCTACCTGACTTCAAACTATATTAGAAGGCTACAGTAACCAGAAGAGCATGGTGCTGGTACCAAAACAGAGATACAGACCAATGGAACAGAACAGAGCCCTCAGAAATAATACCACACATCTACAACCATCTGATCTTTGACAAACCTGACAAAAACAAGAAGTGGGGAAAGGATTCCCTATTTAATAAATGGAGCTGGGAAAACTGGCTAGCCATATGTAGAAAGCTGAAACTGGATCCTTCCTTACACCTTATACAAAAATTAATTCAAGATGGATTAAAGACTTAAATGTTAGACCTAAAACCATAAAAATCCTACAAGAAAACCTAGGCAATACCATTCAGGATATAGGCATGGGCAAGGACATCATGTCTAAAACACCAAAAGCAATGGCAACAAAAGCCAAAATGGACAAATGGGATCTAATTAAACTAAAGAGCTTCTGCACAGCAAAAGAAACTACCATCAGACTGAACAGGCAACCTACAGAATGGGAGAAAATTTTTACAATCTACCCATCTGACAAAGGGCTAATATCCAGAATCTACAAAGAACTTAAACAAATTTACAAGAAAAAATAAAACAGCCCCATCAAAAAGTGGGCGAAGGATATGAACAGACACTTCTCAAAAGAAGATGTTTATGCAGCCAACAGACACATGGAAAAATGCTCATCATCACTGGCCATCAGAGAAATGCAAATCAAAACCACAGTGAGATGCCATCTCACACCAGTTAGAATGGCGATCATGAAAAAGTCAGGAAACAACAGGTGCTGGAGAGGATGTGGAGAAATAGGAACACTTTTACACTGTTGGTGGGACTGTAAACTGGTTCAACCACTGTGGAAGACAGTGTGGCAATTCCTCATGGATCTAGAACTAGAAATACCATTTGACCCAGCAATCCCATTACTGGGTATATACCCAAAGGATTATAAATCATGCTGCTATAAAGACACATGCACACCTATGTTTATTGCAGCACTATTCACAATAGCAAAGACTTGGAACCAACCCAAATGTCCATCAATGATAGACTAGATTAAGAAAATGTGGCACATATATATACACCAGGGAATACTATGCAGCCATAAAAAATGATGAGTTCATGTCCTTTGTAGTGACATGGTTGAAGCTGGAAACCATCATTGTGAGAAAACTATCACAAGGACAGAAAACCAAACACCACATGTTCTCACTGATAGGTGGGAACTGAACAATGAGAACACTTGGACACAGGTTGGGGAACATCACACACTGGGGCCTGTTGTGGGATGGGGGGATTGGGGAGGGATAGCATTAGGAGATATACCTAATGTAAATGACAAGTTAATGGGTGCAGCACACTGACATGGCACATGTATACATATGTAACAAACCTGCTCGTTGTGCACTTGTACCCTGGAACTTAAAGTATGATAATAAAAAAAGAAATAAAGAACACTGAAAATGATAGATATTGAGTAATAGAAAAGACTGCTTATGTAAATAATGTATTATCTTTAAAATATGTTTTTAAAACATGTTGTTTAAATAAATAATGACACTCAATTATATGGTCTATACCATGTAGGTAGAATATGTATTAAAATAATTTCATAAAGGATAAAAGAAAATGGGGCTACAGTGTGGAAAAGTTGAAATATTTTACTGTGATTTAGACAATATTAATGTGAAGTAGAGAGTGATAAGGTGAAGATGGATTTTATAATTCTTAGAATAATTACTAAGACAAATAACTGAAAATATAGCTAATAATGTGTTAATAGAAAAATCAAAATGGCACACTGAATCACTGAATAGTACCGTGGTGATGGCTTAGATATGAAGAAGAGAGGGAGAAAAGACCTGAATTTTAGTTTGGGTAACTGGGTGAATTGTGGTGTGGTTAGTGATTTACTGAAATGAACCTTAAGCAGATGAAAAGAAAACGTTTTATTTTTGTTTTCATTTTACAGTATTTCCCATGTTAAATTTCAGTTTCCTATTTGTATTACAGTGGAGTTATCAAGTAGGAAGCTGATCTGGAGATCAAGGCAGTATTGTAGCCTGAAGATATACACTTGTAGTTAATCAGTATGTAGATGATATTTAAAGCAGTGGTATTTGATGATATCGGTAAGTGAGAGAGTGGAGTTAAAGTAGAGGAAAAAAGATCAAATAAAAGATACACTGACATTTAGTGCTCTAGGAAGAAGACATATAATCAAAGAATAATAAAGAGTATAAATTAAAGTAGGAGGAAACATCAAGCAAACATGATTTGAGAGAAACCAACAAAGGAAAATAATTCAGCATTGCAGCAATATTCTACTATATTGAATCCTGAAGAACAAACAGGAGAGTAAGAGGACACATTTTTGCTAAGTTTAGCAATAAGCAGATTATTGGTGACATCTGCACATACTGTTTCAGTGGTGTGAAAAAGAACATTCACTGAAGTGAATTGAGGAGACAATGGGAAGTATCGACAGGGATTGTAGACCGCAATGTTGAGAGGCTTTGCTGTGAAACAGAAAAGAGAATGGGACAATAACACAATGGCGTGTGAAACAAGGGTAAATTTTTCTTTCAGCTTTTTCTTTTTAGACAGAGAATTATTAAAATTAAGCACTAGGGTTTAATCGTATTTCAATATAGTTAGTGATGCACGTTCATATAGGACTGAGAATAATTCTGCGTTTGGATGGGTTGCTACCATAGATCTGTATTAGGCAAAGCCGGGTCCTCTGGGAATAAGACAAAGTAGACTAGCATGCTCAGAAGCCTGGGTCTGTGTAGCCTTTGGTCCTGGGGGCATCTCCAGGAAGTCACATGCTCAAGTCTCCATAGAATCACTCCAGGGGAAATTCTGGGCAAGGGTGCTGTTGGTTTTAAATCTCCGTGCTGCTGTGGTTGACGCATCAGAAAAGACTCTTGTCTCCTAGACCATACTTTGGGTGAGTTGGGGAAAAATCTGAGGCCTGAGAAGTGCTTTCTTTGAGGATCTTGTCACAGAACGGCAAAGACTGCAGTATGGACAGTTCTTAGAAAAATGTAAAGGTCAGTAATGAGTGGTAGAGGTGGAGGAGATTGCGTGTTGAGCCCAGTTCACCCTTTTACCTGTAATTTGAATTTAATGGCAGAAATTGCCCCGTGACTAAATGTTGATCTTCTCCTTTAGAACCAAACAGAACTTCAAAGCACAATGATCACAGAACCTATATTTAAGCTTTAGTTTTGGGATCTGGTACAAGTTAACTTCTCTGACCCTTGTTTTTCTAGTGCATGCAATAGCAGTAATAATAGTGCTTTTCCACTAAGGTTTTTGTATCTTTAAATGAGATAGGACATGTAAATGGCTAAGAACAGAGCCTGGAACATGAACAAGCACTCAATAAATATTAGATTGTTTATTATTAAAGGACTAAAATATTTTTAAAATGTCTGCCCATTATTCCTTTTATTGTCTATCTAAGATAACACACAAGGATATTGCTTGTGGTTTTTACATTGCTCGTGTTTTTTAAAACCAATAAAGAGTCTAGAATGATCACAATGCTCAGCAAGCATTACTTTTTCATTTCCTTCTCCTTTTCATTAAAATAGAACTAACACTTCTAACTGTAGATGTGGGAATTAAGGGGCAAGGGGAGTATGTGATTCTACCAAAAACTAGTCAGTAAAACAAGAACTTTATAGATCATTGTCCCCCTCCCCCACTCACCCCTGAGCCCCTTCTTCTGAGCCCCAGCTCAAGGTCAATAGCAGATAGTTTCTTATCCTAGTGAGACTAGTCTGTGGATCCCACAAGAAACAAGTCCAAAGGGCCAGCTTTTACTCAGCAGCTCAGATCCTTTAAGAGTATAGTATGCTCATGCCTGTTCCTCAGAGAGCAGCCTTTCTTTCCATCTTCTGCCTGGGTGGAAGAGTATGGAAGTGAAGTTCAATACTACATAGAAGGGAAGGACTCTCAATGCCACTCCTTCTCCACCTTGACCCCCACATATACTTCTGAAGCTACAGAAGCTCCTGTCCTATTGCTGTGAGGAAAGTTTAGGGTCAACTCTTTCCATGGTCTACCACTATTATTTAGATAGACAGAATTAAGCTAGCCAGTTGAAGAGACAAGCTGGACATACGGACCCACCTGTAAAGCATGCCTTCATTCAACTCCAGCTATACAGTACACTCATGTGTCTCATCTTGCTTTCCATGTGTTCTTTGCTAAAGGGTCTTGGAAGGAAAAATAAAAATGCTTCTTTTTGTCCTCTGATTACTCATGACACATCTGGTACTTAGTAGAAACTTCACAAATTTGAAGTCATTAATCAATAAATTAATTAAACATGATCAACTTTTCCTTGGTTCATGAGATCTTAAGGAATCAGGGGCCTCGTTTACTATCCTTGTCCCAAATTCTGGAAGGTCTGTGCTGGTCTCTTGGATTAAGGTGCTTAGATTGCCAGTGTAGTGTTTCTTTTGAGGCTGCTCATCCCTCATAATCAATTTTCTTATTCTTTACTTTTTCTTACTGATTTTTACTACATGTGAATTCTAGTAGCATATCGTCTCTTCATCTTTGGTTTATCTGAGACTTGCTTTCACTAAATCCTTTACAGTAAGCATTAATGATAAAGTGCAAAGTCATTGAGACAGATCCACCAAATCCACTGTCTTGAACCCTGCAACAGCCACTACTGGCAGGCCATTGGTATTAAATGTTGCAATAAACTGCCTGAGGGATAGAAAGATTTAGGTAATACAGAATTTGATCAAAATATATAAATAATATATATGAAAGTAGGTGCATAACTTTAGAATTACATAAATAGATTTCATGACAAATCTTTTGAGAGATAATTTTTATAGTCAAGCAAACATTACCAAGTTTTTAGATAATACATGGGCATTTATTATATCTGAACTTTATTGAGTCTTTATTATTTGCCTGGTGCTTATCTAAGTGCTCTATCAATATTCCAAATGCATACTCTTAACAACCCTATGGTAGGTACTATTATTTTTATTTTAAAGAAGCGAGGAATTAAGCGCAGTGATTATTAAGTAACTTGTTCAAGGTCATAGAGCTAAGATTCAAACCCCAGAGCCTTTATTTTTAAAGCGAATTTTCTTTTCAAATTTCCTAAACAGAGTCAAAGACAGAGAGATACAGGTAAAGAGAGACAGAGATATAGGTAAAGAGAGACACTTATTATATAAGTGAAAGACCCTCAATCCAATCAGACCCATTATTTTTCAAGAGTCAGCGAGGGTGTTGGTATCCTTTTAAGTCTGCAGTCTGCAGCTCCAATTGTTGAAGTTTCAAATAAAATTTTCTGCAGCGATGAAACTATTCTACAACAATTTTATCCAGTTCAGTAGCACTAGTCACACGTGGCTATTGAACATTTAAAATACGACTAGTACAAGTAAGGTGAAATTGTAATTTAATTTAAGAAATTTAAATTTAAATAAATGCATATGTCTAGGGGCTACCATATTGGACAGTACTGCACTAAACTACTGACTGACAAATTTGGAGTGACTTTTTTCCATCTTGTTCATTCCCAAGTATCCAGAGCTCTCTGTCTTTTGTGTGTAGCTCTGGATTTTGTCTAGTGGCTTTGCTCCTTTCTATGACCAAGGCTCCTATTTCATTTATTTAAAATAATTTCTTAAAGAAAGAGTTCTTAACCTGGGTCCATAGATGGTTTTCAAAAATATCTGAATTCACTTAATTTTTATGCAGAACTTTGCTTGTATATGTGTGTGTGGTGTGTTGGTGTGTGTGTGTGTGTGTGTGTGCATTCTTAACTGGGAGACCCTTTCTGAGATTCTCAGAAGGGTTATGATAAATACAAAGTTCAGAGCCACTATAGCACTACTTTCTTTTAGTCCTAAACCTTCTGTCAGCTGTGGCTAGACTGGCCTGAAAAGGTGATTAGCTCAGCTGCACATTTGGATAAATGTTCTTAAGATGACACCAAAAAATTGAAATGGAAGAGAATTGATTGTGTGGCACCAAGATTTTAATCTTGATCTTTATCATGCAAATAGTAGACATTAATGTCTGTGATTCCCCATAGATTTAACTACGCCTTACTTGGAGTTACAGTGAGAAATGTAGTTGCTGCTAACTCAAGATGACATTTATTAGAACAGCCACATAGAAGCGTGGAAGGAAAAGAATGGGTCTTCTCTATGGAGAAACAGGAAAAAAAGTCAAGATGAGTTTTAACACGCATGGCACTGACTTCAGTAACCTGAACAATGATTGAATCTGTCTTTTGGGAGATTCTCCATGGATGGCTTTAATCTGGCTGAGCCATATATTAGTTGTAAAACTCTTTGGAAGTACTGGAGATCATTCTGCTCTCTAATGAAGAGAAAAGTAAATCTCAAAATTCCTTTCTAGATGCAGCTTAGGACAGAGAAATCTAATTGCATGGAAGAACATACTGAAGAAAAAGGCCTGAATAAATGAAAATGACAATGGGAAGACTGGATATTTCTGAAAAGGGACTAAAGCAACTCTTCTGTGGCTCCTGGGTATCTGTTTTCTATTGCTGCCATAAGAAGTTACTACAAACTTAGTGGCTTAAAATAATATATATTTATTTTTAACAGTTCTTTAGATCAGAAGTCCAAATTGGGTCTCACTGGGCTAAAACCAAGATTTAAGGCATTCTTTTCTGCAATATTTTCTGGAGACTTAGGGGAAAATTCTGTTCACTTACCTTTTCCATCTTCTAAAGGCCACTAATATTCCTTGTCTCCTGGTTCCCTTCCTTCATCTTCAATGTCAATAATTCATGTCCAGTCCTGCTCAAGCTGCCATCTTTCTGGTTCTCTGCAGTGACAAAGGTTATTCATTTCTAAGTACTCCTGTGATTTGATTTGGCCTACCTGCACAATGCAGGATAAACTCTACATCTCAAGGTTCTTAACTTTAACTATATATGAAAATTCCCTTTTGACATGCAAAGTAGCATGCTGATAGTTTTCAAAGATACGGATGAGGACATCTTTAAGGGTATTATTCTTCCTACCACAGTAGGTCTTTTTAAAGTTCCTTGGGAGCCAAGGTGACTTCTTCCTCCCTCACTTGCTGCAAGCTCAGATCCCTTTAGTACTCACAGACTCTTAGGAATACAGAAGGTCAGAGCTTTAAATTCCTTAAAGTGTGTCTTTCCTCCTCCATCCTACATCATACGAGTGCCAAAGAGGGAAGGGATTGATAAATTGAGTACTAAAGAGGGAAATAATCATATGAAAATCAAAACAATTTAAGATCACAACCAAGATGCACACACATACATCCACACATTTATATCTGCACATCTGTGTTTATGAACAGCCCTTATATTAGGACTGTGGTTATATTCTTCATGGTTATTGGTGTTCGTGTTTATTATACATGTAAATACACAATGTCAAATTCTTCCCTAGTATTGCAGTCTGCAAGACAGGTAACTTCTTGATATTTCTGAATTGCATATGTCCCTAGTAGGTGCAGATGTTAACTGGAGGTTTTTTGTTTGTTTCTCTTTCTCCTAGATATTTTAAAATTTTATGGTTAGTAGCAGCATTCTCGCTTCATGAAGCAGGGGCTACTGGTTTCTGTATCAAACTGAGCATGAATGTGCAAGAATAATATTTAAGTTACTTCCTCTTACAGCTACCATCTCAATACTTATTGTTACTGATTCCAGTTGAAGTCAGTTTGACTTAATGAGCTCTTCTCTATTTTCCTACTCAAACCTCTATTCCACCATGTCACCACTCAACCAAACTACTGAGAACCACCAGAGCTTCTTCACCCTGACTGGGATTCCAGGAATGCCAGAGAAAGACTTATGGATGGCCTTGCCCCTCTGTCTTCTTTATAGCACCACGATCTTGGGAAATGTCACCATCCTTGTTGTCATCAAAGTTGAGCAAAGTCTCCATGAGCCCATGTATTTTTCTAGCCATGTTAGCTGCCACTGACCTCAGCCTTTCACTGTCTTCCATGCCTACCATGGTCAGTGTTCACTGGTTCAACTGGCGTTCAATAACTTTTAATGGCTGCCTTATCCAGATGTTCTTCATCCACACATTTGGGGGAGTGGAATCAGGTGTTCTGGTGGCCATGGCCTTTGATCGCTTTGTGGCCATCCGCTTTCCTTTGCACTATGCTACAATTCTCACTCACAGTGTCATCAGCAAGATTGCAGCAGCCATCCTGCTACGGAGTGTGGGGGCTGTGCTCCCTGTGCCTTTTCTCATCAAAAGGTTACCTTTCTGTCACTCCAATGTCCTCTCCCATGCATACTGCCTCCATCAGGATGCCATGAGGCTTGCCTGTGCTGACACTGGTGTCAATAGCATCTATGGCCTGTTGGCTGTGATCTTCATCATTGTACTAGATGCCTTAATACTTTTGGCCTCTTACATTCTAATCCTGCAGGCAGTATTGAGCATTGCTTCCCAGGAAGACAGGCTCAAGGCTCTCAACACCTGTCTCTCTCATATCTGCAGTGCTGCTTTTCTATGTGCCTCTCATTGGTATGACCCTAATTCATCGCTATGGGAAGCATTTGTCACCACTAATACACACATTCATGGCCAATATCTACCTGCTTCTCCCTCCTGTGCTCAATCCCATTGTGTACAGTGTTAGGACCAAGCAGATCTGATAGCAGATTGTCCAGGCCTTTTGTGGGGCTAGGGTTAGCCCTTAATGGCATCTACTATTTCCAAGTAAATGCAATCAAGTTAGAGAAGAGTATCAAATACAGCACTATCCAATAGAAATTCCCACAGAAGTGGATATTTTCTATTTCTCTGCTGTTTAGTAACTAGTAGCTGTACATGGCTATTAATTGCTTGAAATTTTGCTAGTGCAAGCTGAGGAACTGAATTTTAAATGTACTTAATTTTAATTGATTTAAATGTAAATTTAAGTAGTCATATGTAACTAGTAGCTGCCGTATCAAATAGTACAAATACAATGGGTAGTGATATGAAATTGCATAATGGTTTTCATGAGAGCAATAATTTATTTTAGCTTGATAAAACATAAACATTTATACTTTAAAATTGTATATAAATTTTCAAACATTTATGTATAATAAAATTTACTCACTTTGGTATATCGTTTTACAAGTTTTGACAAATGCGTTGTGTTCCCACCACTGAAACAAAGATACAGAACAATTTTATCACTTCCCCAAATTTCTTTATGCTTCCCATCTGTGGTCAACTACTCTATTATCACCCAACAGAAGGCAAACATTGACTGGCAAGCATTGATTGGCAATCCTTCCCTATAATGATTGTTTTTCCAGAGTGGCATGCAAATGAAACCTTGCATTATGCAGTCTTTTGTGTCTAGCTTCTTAGTAAAATGCTTTTGAGATTCACCTATGTTATTGCATGTATTGGTAGTTTATTCCTTTTTATTGTTGAGTAGTTTTCTGTTGTATGTCATTTTTTAATAACTTTTTTGAGAAATCTATCCGGACTGCTTAGTCCATTAGAATCACTCTGGTATTCAGTGATGAACATAGAACATTTATTTTCTTTTGCCTTTATTTGTGTATTTATTTATATATTTTATAACATAAGGTATACATATTTAAGGGGTTGGAATCAGAAAAAATATTAAAAATAAATAGCATGTGCAGAGTTTGAGAAAATGGTGCATTCAGTGAGTTGGAAAAATAAGAAATTTCATATAAGCTTTAGATCTCAACCTCAGCCTCACTTCTGTTCAGAGGGCTTTTCTGACTTGTGCTTAATATATACTCCATATGAACAGGGACCCTTTTATCCCACTTCATCATACCTCAAGTGTGTAATGTAGTTTAGACCATATGGTGACACTTAATATATATTTTTGAATTAGTGAAAACTATACTTTATTAAGATTGATTTAATACTTCCTATTCTTTCTGTTCTTATTTAATATTCATAAATCTTATCTGAAATTTTCAGTCACTCATCTTCACTGATAGGAACCAGGGAAAGAGGGTGGTGTTTACTTATGCATCTGAGCATTACCTGATGTGTAACTTTATAAAGTTACTTGATCTTCCTTGATACTCACTGGGATAAGCACCTTTGCTCAGTGTGACTCATACGTATATAGTGAGAATATATTTGGAAAATGTTTCAAGAAACAAAAAGGGCCGGGCGCGGTGGCTTACACCTGTAATCCCAGCATTTTGGGAAGCCGAGGCGGGTGGATCATGTGGTTAGGAGTTTGAGACCAGCCTGGCCAACATGATGAAACCCCATGTTTACTAAAAATACAAAAATTAGCCAGGCATGGTGGCAGGCACTTGTAATCCCAGATACTGGGGAGGCTGAGGCAGGAGAATTGCTTGAACCCAGGAGGTGGAAGTTGCAGTGACACGATATCGTGCCACTGCACTCCAGCCTCAGTGACACAGAGAGATTCTGTCTCAAGACAGGGGAAAGTACAAAAAGCCAGGGTAGATTAGATATAATCAGGATTATTAATTGACTGTCTACTGTGAATAGTTGGATTCCAGTCTAAATGAAGCTTAAACCATATGTGGGCACACAGTTGGGAATCAATCTATGAAATCGACAGATTAAGGACAATGAATTTAAACCATAGTTCCTGAAGATATGAGTGGAAACAGTTGACATTAGAAGGTAGTATAGCATGATGGTTAAGATGGAAAGCTTTGAAATAAGACTTATTTCAAAATTTTGAGTACCATTTCTGAAATAGGCTTGAGTACCATTTCTGCAACTTGCTAACTTTTAGACAGCGAAGTTATTAAAAAATCTCTCTGAACTTCAATTTCCTCAGCTGTGAAATAATAGGTAATAATACTTAACTCATAAGGTTGATTAAGACAATGCGTTTGAAAGATATAGTTTCTGAAGCATATTATGTGTTCATCAAATGTTAAGTTACTTATGCGTAGAAGGTAGATGGCTCCAGATATGACTTGAATCGGAAGGGTTCTTAGGAGGAGTTCCTGTGTAAGAGGAGGGATGTAGGAATGGCCAGGAGAGTAATGAGACCTCTTAGGAAGAGGATATATTGAAAACAGAGAACAATGGGATGACTCTTTCTGCTCTCCTAATCCAGCTCTGACATTCAGGGAGCCTTCCTGGCTGAGATTCCTTAGCCTAAGGCTGGGTAAAGAGGAATGGTTATAGTTATTTGACCCAGGCAGGCAGTCTTAGCAGATATCTATTACTGTCTGCCTCCAGGGCTAGGGCTCTTCTCCCAGCCCTTGATGGATGGGATTTGCTTGGGCCTGGGAGCAGGGTTTGGGGGTAAGTCTCGGAGATGTGTCTGAGTTGCTGATGGGTTCCATCACTCACTCCAACCAGAATGCTTACTAATCAAGAATGCTCCCCATTGCCTGGGGACTCTACTAGGCTGCCTATAAAGCCCTCGCTTTTGGAAGCTGGTTTAGTCCCTGCTCTGTTATGGGACTGAAGAGAAGTTGGTGGTGTTTCCTGCTGATGTGACCAGGTAAGACGGGAGTGCAAACGTGGAGAAAAAAACTGAAGTGGGGCAGGGGGAGTTTTTTAAAAATGAGGGATGGTAAGATAAGGAGAGGAAGAAGATAAAGCAATAAATTGATGGGAACTACAAGTAAGATGGGATGAAGAAAGGGAGGGGTGTAACAGATACTGGAAGAAATTGAGATGGGAGAGAGAAGACAGGAGGAGAAAGAAGAGAAAAAGGCAAAAGACGATAGGACTCAAAACTCCCTTTCTGTGGCCATAATTGTTTGGTAATCAATCAATGTTGCTAAATGAAGATTTCTGTTTTTCCTGATCCTGCTTTAGTAACTAGCATTGAGAGATTAAAAACGTGCATTCCCAAACTTTCAAGAATCTCAAACTTCTGGCAGAAGAACACAGTACTTGGATATATAAATTACCAATATCAGTTGTGCCTCATTATTAAGCACCAAGGGAAAGGTCCAAGCAAAATGTGGGGCAAAGATTGAAGCAGAGGGTAGTTTTAGCTTAATATGTCAGGGAACTTTCAGGGTATATTCTGAATTGTGGAGGAAATATAATTCAGTGTTAACAAATTAACAGAAGGTAGGGGTTGGTAAATGAAGAGGATGGGTCTGTAACATTACTGATGCCAGAAAATAGGGATGTTGACCTTTGGGTCACTCTGTTATTGAGTTGAGTGAGTGTTATTCAAATAATTTCACCTGGTCTTCTGTATATGAATGGGCAGATGCTACCTTCTTCCTGGCCAGTCAGATGGAGACTTGTACCTGAAGAGAGAAAGCACTAATATATTGCTCTGGTTAGCCAGCAATGTTGAGAAAACCTTGATAAATTTAGGCACTGAACTTTGACCTACCACTGGCTCCAGAGTGTATGACCTCACAGAGAGAAAGCCCTCTGCTTCTTCTTCTGTCTCCATTCCACAGGAAAGATTTCCCCAGCAGCAAACGGAACCACTGTCTCCTCTCCTCTTACCGCCTTGCATTATCCAGTGTCATTTCTTTGCCTTTATGAGATATCATTCCAAGAACAGAGGATAACTGATATCTGCTTTATAAGCATCTCATCGCTCAGTTACTTTTGCACCCCCAAATGCCCTCTGCATTCATCTGCACGTGAAGACAAAAACAATACAAACATATGTAGACTTTTATACATAATTTTAAAAACACTTGGACTCCACAAACATTCTTCTTTAGATGAGTCATGAGAACATAGTTCTCTATTTTGCTTATTTCTCATCTCTACCCCTCCTGTACATCATATACAAGTATAAAAGGATATTAAAAAATTGTATTTTAAAGGAAGGAAATTACAACATTCAGCTATCCAAATTGTCTCATTAGCCTGGCCTCTCTGATCATCTGAAGTTTAGTAAAAAATAATAGACTTTGGAGTTAGTAAATTTGGTTTTGAATTTGAATCTGTATTGAACTATTTTAGCCTAGATATACTATTTAACCTTCCTGGGTCCATTTCCTTTCTTTAAAACAGAAGAAAAATAACTACCTTAAATTTAAAATTGTATATAAAATGACTAATAAAATGTATGCTATATATATAAAGAATCTTAATTATTTTTCTTTCCTCATAGTTCAGTGTCTTCAACCAACCATGGCAATATTCAATAACACCACTTCGTCTTCCTCAAACTTCCTCCTCACTGCATTCCCTGGGCTGGAATGTGCTCATGTCTGGATCTCCATTCCAGTCTGCTGTCTCTACACCATTGCCCTCTTGGGAAACAGTATGATCTTTCTTGTCATCATTACTAAGCGGAGACTCCACAAACCCATGTATTATTTCCTCTCCATGCTGGCAGCTGTTGATCTATGTCTGACCATTACGACCCTTCCCACTGTGCTTGGTGTTCTCTGGTTTCATGCCCGGGAGATCAGCTTTAAAGCTTGCTTCATTCAAATGTTCTTTGTGCATGCTTTCTCCTTGCTGGAGTCCTCGGTGCTGGTAGCCATGGCCTTTGACCGCTTCGTGGCTATCTGTAACCCACTGAACTATGCTACTATCCTCACAGACAGGATGGTCCTGGTGATAGGGCTGGTCATCTGCATTAGACCAGCAGTTTTCTTACTTCCCCTTCTTGTAGCCATAAACACTGTGTCTTTTCATGGGGGTCACGAGCTTTCCCATCCATTTTGCTACCACCCAGAAGTGATCAAATACACATATTCCAAACCTTGGATCAGCAGTTTTTGGGGACTGTTTCTTCAGCTCTACCTGAATGGCACTGACGTATTGTTTATTCTTTTCTCCTATGTCCTGATCCTCCGTACTGTTCTGGGCATTGTGGCCCGAAAGAAGCAACAAAAAGCTCTCAGCACTTGTGTCTGTCACATCTGTGCAGTCACTATTTTCTATGTGCCACTGATCAGCCTCTCTTTGGCACACCGCCTCTTCCACTCCACCCCAAGGGTGCTCTGTAGCACTTTGGCCAATATTTATCTGCTCTTACCACCTGTGCTGAACCCTATCATTTACAGCTTGAAGACCAAGACAATCCGCCAGGCTATGTTCCAGCTGCTCCAATCCAAGGGTTCATGGGGTTTTAATGTGAGGGGTCTTAGGGGAAGATGGGATTGAAGGTAGGAAATTGTCAGGACACGAATTATGCTTTGGAAAGAAAGGGACTTGGGGCAGTCTTATCCACAGGTGTTTTGGTTGCTGAGTCAATTCCAATTGAATTTTAGGAGTGGGAAGAAGACAGTAATTTTCCCCTGAGCTTATCAAAGAGTTTTATTTTTAATTTTTAATACCATAATTTAAACCAAATTAATTGAGCATATGTCCCTGAACCATTTTAAACAATGACATGACTCCTGTGCATATAAAAGCAGACTAGTCACTTTAATATAGTGGAAAACTTTATCTCCTTTAAGACAGTAATTTTTAGACCAGAAGTAAATTAAAATTTTATTTTCACATCCAGCTGAACAATTTTTTTTTTTCCCTGAGGTGATATTTCCAGTGAGGCAATGAAGGTTGTTACTTGAGCTGGTAAAAGGAAAAGTTACATATGTGCACAAAGGCACACACGTAGAAAGTTATAATTAAAAACTTTAGGAAAATCTTGTACATTGGTTTCAGTTCCTGGTGTCACTTCTAGAGAGTGCTGTATCCTTACAAATATACTCCCTATACCTCTATCTTTCTTTAATCCCTTTTCTTCTTATAGAAGTGATATTTTTTCAGTTTTAGTTAGTACTTTATATACCTCCAATCCATCCAATATATAAAATTACACATTGACTTTCATTGTTTTCTCATTGCCTATATATTCTAATATAGTTCTAATCCTGATTCCATAGCTACTCCATTGCTAACTCTCAGAACTGCAGCTTTTTTCTATTTGCTCTTGTTTCTTGGGTTGTTAATTTTCTACCTAGCTATTGACTGCTTCTACCTTCTGGTATACTCATCACTCTAGAATTGCACAGTAGCTTTGATGCTTTTGAATAGGAAATTTCTAGATTGCCTTTATTAACAATATTTGTTTTGTGAAGAAGTAAACTCAGGCACAGGGTTGTTAGGGTGCTGGAGATAATTCTTCACATTTTTTTCCACAGTTTTGATAATTTCATCCTACCTAGGATAACTCATGTCTGAGCATTGTGGACCAAGCAGTTACTCTGATTTGAGCCACCTCTCTCCTCCCCTTATATAAACTTCCTGTTCCTTGGCAGATAGGGAACACCACTCCCAATCTGGTTTGTTGACCTCAGTTTTCTTTCAAGCTATGTTGTTCAGCTCAAGCACTGACAACTTTGTGATTTTGCTTCGCTTGGGCTCCAATCCCCTTTACCAACAATAATCACATATCATTTATAATTAAAAGTAATTGCATGAGTTTCCTTTCATGCATTATACTCAGGTAATTGAGATTACATAAGAGTGTGTGGCGGGACTCACACACTTTTTAGGTGAGGAAAAACAAGTGAATGACCGTCCTATAAAGTATGCAATTATAAGTAAAATTCGGTTTTTCAAACTCCAAGTCCCTCATTGTAGCTAAAATGTTTCTTTGCCTTGTGCACTCAGCGGGAAGTCTTTGTATTCTATTATACCACAGTTCAGTATTTTACCTTTCAAGTTTTTGTTCTCATATTGCTGCCAAATAAATGTCTCTTTGGTTCTGTCCTCATCAAAAGGAAAAAAATACAACTATTATTCAAAAGTGCAAGAAGCCAAAGATATATCTAGTTTCTAGACATCTGACGCCATACAATTTCCCTTAGAGAGTATCATACTATGGCAGAGTCTCTGACCCTGAAATTAACTTGTGGCAGAGCAGACGTCCCAGAACACACACTAATCTAACCATCCAAACTTTTCTGCATCAGTTATTTCAGATGTCTCTGGCTTTACGATTGCTTCTTTTGAAGACTTTTCTAAAAGTTCACCTTGGCAGATCTACAATCCTCTATTTGCAATGGAGAAGTTTCCAAATATCTGGAAAAACAGTATTTTTTTTCTTTCTTAAGTTTGGTGTCATAATTTATTGGCTAAAAAGCCTAATAGAAACTTGTGTGAACATATTTTTGGATCATAATTTATTTATTTCACTCATTTCCCTTCAGAAATATTGCTGTGTTTGAATGCAGGGTAATACCTCAAGAGATATATGGCTCTTTAAAGTATAAAATGTAATTGAATTCCAGAGGTTTTAGATGAACAATTGTGAAAATGTGTGATATTTCTTCCAGTTTTATGGCAGTCATAAAGCAGTCTGCTGTGTGTATTAATCTTCTACTACTCAAAAATGTAGTTTTTATACCTGACTAAAAATGTAATCTTTTCACTTAAAAAGAAAAAATTTCAACAATATACTCCACCCCTATGGTAATTGTCAATAGGCTACGAATTTGTGTTTTGTTATTTTATGCAATGTATTTTATATATTTGGAGTTTTTCTGATTATGAGTGTCATATATATAATTAAAATGTGTGAATGTGTTGAGAAATAGAAAAAAAATTTAAAATCTAATACCAATTATTTGCAATCCTATGGAGAGATTATATAATATAGTCATATGCCCCACAATGACCTTTCAGTCAACAATGGGCCTCATATGCCACAGTAGTCCCATAAGACTATAATATTAGTATTTTTGCTGTGCCTTGTCTATGTTTAAACAAACACAAATACTTAACTGTATACAAAAACTAAAACTGTAGCATTGTGTTACAGTTACCTCAGTATTTAGTACAGTAAAATGCTGCACAGTTTTGTAGTCTAGGAGCAATAGGCTATATCATAGGTATGTAGTAGGCTATACCCTCTAGGTTTGTGTAAATACGCTATATGATAGTCACGCAATGATGCATTTCTCAGAAAAAAATCCCCCTTATTAAGCAACTCATGACTGCATATAGCCTAATCTTTTTTTAATAAACAAACACATGGGCATACATATGTATACATTTATAAATTAAGATAATAGTTTACATGCAAAGGTATGTCTTAAATATTTACCTGCTATTATTCATTATTCTCTATTAAGTTACATTTTATATTAGGTTTTACTTCTAGGAAGCTTTGCTTTCATTATCCATCAAAATAGGCCTGTTGCCATTCCTTTACATATGCTTTCTTAGGTGTATGATTAAAATTACCATACTTTGCTAGTTTAATTACTTATTTACTTGTTTTCTTCACCATCTGAACTCCATGATAGTAGGCCTATGTCTTATGTAACAACCAACACAGGGTTTAGCAAACACCACTTAGTTGTTGATGCTGTGTTGCATTGGTAAATAACATGTCATCATCTTTGCATGTCATGGTTTTTGCTACTATTTCCTATTACTTAACACTTCCGTAACCCTTGATATATTTTCTTATAAATATATATTTGATTCTATCTCTGATTACCTTTATAGATTTCCAGAAATATAAATTATTAAATTTAGAAGGAGGCAAAATAACTGTTGGTCTCCTTGTGTTGGCCAACTGTAGTGGCTGAAGTTGTGGGCTCTGGAATCATACTGCCTGGGCTGAGATTTAAGCTCCTAACACTTTATTGCTCTATATTCTTAGAAAAGTCATTAAACTTCGTAAGTCTTTAACTTCCTAACCCAGAGAAGAAGAGGAAGTAATAAATTCTACCTTCCCAGGTTCTTGCAAAAGTAAATACTGTTAATTCCGGTAAACATATAGCCCAATGCCTAGTACCTGGTCAGCACCGGGTACATTCTATTGTCATTATCTTCTAAATTTTGACCTCCAATGTTATTCAGATAACTAATTGTTTTTCAATAAATACATGTACTGCTGTTTGTTCTCATATTGCTGCCAAATAAATATATCTTTGGTTCCACCCTCATCAAAAGAAAAAAATACAACTATTACTCAAAAAGTGCAAGAATTCCAAGATATATTTAGTTTCTATCATCTGACCCCAAACAAGGATTAAGGTCAAAAGACTTTATTTTTGACAGACAGCCTGTTGGCAAACTCAGAATAAAACCACAACCTTAAGGATTATTTGTAAGAGACTTTGTAAACTTCCACAAGAATTCCAGGGTTGCTTTTTTCTTTTCACTTTTCCATTGTAGTTACATTGTAGTTATTTAATCAGAGAATTTTTCCCATCCATATGTGATTTGTTTGCTTATATTTCAGTAGATTTTAAAATTATCTTTGTACTTAATTCTTAATTTATTTTTTTGTGGGTGATAAAAATCATATGCACACAAATATGAAATATTGTATAGGTTTTCATTATTCCTCCCTGTATTATTTGACTATTCAATCAATTTTATATAATGTTCTGATATTTCTTGATTATATGTTACATTTTCAGATCTTATATGATATATATTAGTGTGATTATTCTATTTTTTTGTTCTCATTGATTTGTTGAGTAAACTGCACAATTTTACAGCTGTTTAATAAATCTCACTATTATATTAAGCTTTATTATAGTTTGTAATGTATTTATTTTATTGTATGTTCTTCAGTTTACTCTTATATCTCTGTTTTTAGAATTATTTTAGTAATCACAAAAGAAATGTTACTGGAAGTTTAATTACAAATACATTAAACCTGTTGGATAATTGAGAGAAACAAACAATATTTAGCCTACTGACTCTTCTGATCCAGAAACATTTATTGACATTTTATGACCTGAGTCATTTCCATCAAGTACAGATTTGAATTTCTGAGTTGAGGAGAAAAACTAAAAACTTTGTTGTTTCTTTCATGAAAATATGTTTCCATTTTCTTGAACAGAACATGAACTGTTTTTCAGGACAGCTTCTTTGACTTGAAATTTATAGTTACTCCTTACTTCTTTTGGCAATAGGTTTCCTAATACGTCAGATGTTTGATGTGCTTGTAATTTATCAACATATTCTGAGTTGTTAAAGACATTTTTGTTGTTGTTTTGGTTTGTTTTTCAAAGCAAGTTGGGAAATGTGTTAGTTAGACTACTAGTCAGATGCAATTTTTTATACACTGTACAAGTGCTAGAGACATGCCAATAAATTTCATTAATGCAATTCCTCTGAGGAAACAAAATACAAGTTAAGAGAAACAGACATGCAACTGATAATTATGACATAAATGGAGAATGTTTGAGGTCACAGAAAAAGACTTGAATAATGCAGTCTGGGAGGAGATAAGGAAGATTGTCCCTCCCTTCCCCATGAGGCTGTGGGGAATCTAGTCAGGATCAACTATCAGACAATAAGGACTCACCTAAATTCACCTGGGAACACAGAATATATAAGAATATTTTGCCATATAAAATATGTAAGACTAGTTGAACCTTCTTCAAAATGGTTCTCTGAAACAGAAATAACAGTAATTACTTGTGAGCTCAACTTAGGCAGTAAAACATTGAAATATGTTAATAATAGTTTTCTAATAATTCATAGCAGAAAATTGTTAAGGTCTGACTTATTCTAAATTTTATGTTTTATACCTTTGTCTACTACTAAGTACTCACAAGTAAAAGATAGACAAGAAACAAATGATTTTTACAGAAAAAATTTGAGGTAACCAAACATCTTTAGTTGGCTATTTTCTTTTAAAAATATGAAACTATAACAATGCATATTGTGTTATATTGAATACTATATTGTTATTTTATGCTAGTTTAACATTATTTCTAAGCTTCTAGTGAAATCGAAACACTAGATAGTAATTTAAAATATCAAATGCCTAAACAACCATTAAGAACCATTATTTTAGAACATATATTTTAGAACAGCTAATCAAGAATATCAGTGCTTTAAAAAATGCTGTATTTTGAAAAACTTTTTCCTATTTTTTACCAAAAGCACAATCATCCTTCTGTTCTTTTAGTTGACCATGGCTTATGGAACTTTGCCGTAACATAGAAAAAAATTTGGTTTTTATTAAGGAATGTTATGAGATAGTTTATTGCCATAATTCAAGGCTGTGAAAATGATAAGGCAAAAGAATTCCTGGTTCTACTTATTTCATTGTTAAGGAAGGTGCAAAGGGAGAGGATTGCTAACCAACTCATAGCTGACAATAGACTTCTTTCACTTAAATGGGAAATCAACTATTCACACAAAATTTGACTGAATGCTCCTCAACAAGTACCATGTGTCTGAAAGTCACCTGAAAGAAACCAGCAACTGGATTGGGGTGATATCCTTTAATCTTCAGCTCCTTGGTATTCCTTGTCTGCAAGGGAGTACAATCCCTGCTTTCATATGTACTTATCCTTGTCATATAAACTGTGTAACTAAAATGCTGTATCAGTGTGTTGAGTCATGATTTCCGTAACATTCTAAAACTGTCACATACACACTTATCAACATACATGTCAGTCCTACACTCACAGGAGTAGGACACTCACTACACTTAAACAGCTTATATGCTGGACTGACTATAGTCATCCCTTGTTATCCATAGGAAATTGCTTCCAGGACCCCAAGGATGCCAAAATCTGAGGACCTTCAATCTCATATAAAACGGCATAGTATATGCATCTTACCTACACACATCCTCCCATATACCTTAAAGTATCTCTAGAATATTTATAATACCAAATACAACAAAAATACTGTGTAAATAGTTGTTATGCTGTATTGTTCAGGGAATAATAACAAAAAATTATCTACATGTTCAGTACAGATGCAATCAATCACACTTTTTTTCTGAATATTTTTTATCCGTAGATGTGAAACCTATGGGTAAGAAAGGCCAACTGTGTATGAATAATTAAGACAAATAATGGTAAATAATTGATAATACTTTGCTTAGGAAGATATTATTTTCTCTCCTGATCTTGTACCACGTTTACTGACACCGTTGTTGTAGACCCAGTTTTCCTAAAACTTTTTCATGAATTTGCTGTGTCTTCACACAATATACAATGGGATTCATAAGAGGTGGCACTAGCAAGAAAACATCAGCAATGAGGATCATGGCCAGTGGGGACCTGTGCTTGCCAAAGCAGTTCATGGATGCCAAAGCAGTGCATGGATGCCAAAGCAATGACGGGCGCATAGAAGATAAGCACAGCACAGATATGGGAGACACAGGTGTTGAGGGCCTTGAGCCGCTCCCTATGGGATCCAATTCCCATGATCGTCTTCAGGATGAGCACATAAGACACAGTAATGAACACACTTTCTGACATCATACAGAGGGCAAGAAAGAAACCATAGAAGAAGTTGACAGTGTTGTCGGAGCAGGCCAGCTTCCTGACATCCTGATGGAGACAATAGGAATGAGAGAGTAGGCTTTTCCTACAATATGTCAACCTTGTAAGAGTGAAAGGAAATGGGAGTACTAACAGCATGAGTTAGTTGTTTCTTTTAATGAGTTTAGTGTTGTTTCTCTTTTAATGAGAAACAACAGCCCCATTTTGGCAACTCTGGCACTGGTGAGGATACAGCTCACCAGTACCTCAGATATGTACCTCAGAGGGTGGCATATGGCCAAAACCGGTCAAAAGACATGACGAGAAGCACTGAGGACTCCATATCTGTGAATCCATGAATAAAGAATTCTTGAGCAAAGCGAGCATTTGAGGAGATTCCTGTGGCATTGAATACAAAGATCCTCAGCATAGTGGGTAGGTAGGAGAGGGACAGGCCCAGATCAGAGACAGCCAACATGGAAAGGAAATAGTACATGGGTGCATGGAGTGAGGGCTCAGTCCTGATAACAAAGAGGATTGTGCAATTGCCTAGGATGGCTACCAAGTACATGAGGCAGATGGGGACAGATATCCATATATGGGCATGCTCCAGCCCTGGTATTCCAATCAGAAAGAAGGTGGTAATCGCAATTTCAGAAGAATTGGGAAGGTGCATGATGAGTCCATTGAAAAGTATTCTCAGGTCTGAAATGACACTCAGTATGGATCTCCTGTGTTCATTTCCCTCCTTTCAGCACGTTTGTCTATGAAATAAAGAAAATGGAATTGTGAAAGACTTATTTCAAGAAATAAAAGAGAGATATTACTTCTAAACAGACTGTAATAAAGTCAGATCTTGACTGACAAAGGGAACCAGAAATATGGGTACTTGCATACATCCCTGTTAAATCCTCAGAAGGCTTACCCACATAAAGAGCAGTAACTTTCAAACAAATTCCTCTTGTGTTATTAGGCTTTACCTTACCCCATTTCAATGACAAATTGTATAGAGTCAGAATGGACTATAGGACCCCCTTCCCTGATCTGGAATGAACTCAGAATAATAATAATAATAATAATAATAATAATAATAATAATAATAATAAAAGTAAAAGGACTGGGAAACCCCAGGAAGTGGATACTAGTTTTGAAGAATGAAGAAAATTAGTGGTTTCTCCAATTTCTAGTCATTTGTTGCAAACATTTGTTCAGGCAAGGTGTGACAGGCTGTTCTCCCATTGCTATAAGAAATGCCTGAAGCTGGGTAATTTACAAAGAAAAGAGGTTTAATTGGATCGTGGTTCTGCAGGCTCTTCTAGCATGGCACTGCCATCTGGTTGGGCTCTGGGGAGGCCTCAGGGAGCTTTTATTCATGACAGAAGGTGAAGTAGAAACAGGCATGTCACATGGCAAAAACAAAGTGAGAGGGGGAAGGGAGGTACCATATACTTTTCAACCATCAGATTTTGTGAGATCCCACTCACTATCAAGAGGACAGTACCAAGCCATGAGGGATCTGTCCCCATGACCTAAACACCTCCCACCAACCCCCATCTCCAACATTGGGAATTTTATTTAAACATGAGATTTGGTTGGAACAAATATCCACACCATATCACCAGGCTCTGAGCTTCTAAAGCTGTTTTTACCCACAAGCTCTTCAAAGGAAGCAGTCCAAAGTAAGGACATAACAAATGCCATGTATGATTGACTATTAACCCTCTCCTATAGCATAGTGAAAACCCCACCTTTTTGTATGATAATGATTACAATGTCCTTATGTATGACCAATTCATAATGGTGCTCTCCATCTTTGAGGATGGGAGGAAAGAAGAGATTCTTGGATTTTCTCTATAGCTCAACATACACTTTCACAGCTATAGAGTGGCTCTCTCAACTAAACTATAGCAAGATTGGAGACATAGTATGTCACAGATGAAGTGGGTTGGTACTGCCTGGGACCATTTTTTCTCCCTGGAATTATAAGGTAAATAGTTTTTCCACAAATCCAGGGCTTTTTCATAGGCAACTTAATCAACTATATGTATTTGAGAGTTTTCATATGCTTTGTAGCATTAAGCATATCAGAGACAATGAGGCTGCAAGACATATAAAGCATATCCATCTCTACTCCTTGGCCTAAAAAAAAAAGTTTTATTGAGAGGCTAGGGCACTGTAAAAGAACTCTTGACAGTTAGGAACAAAACCACAAACTTTTCAACTAGTTTATCCTCCAGAATGAGACTATCATGAGTCATTCCTCTTCTAGAAGACCTGGGCTACCTTCCAAAAAGGATAAAGCAGTTGTTTTGTCATAATCTGGATATCAGCCACTCTCTCTCCCCTAAAGTCCACATAAAAAAAGTATGCAGAGATCCTTTTGGACAGTGTATCATTAATTCTTTAGCAACTCCAATTAGGTCAGCTCAGAAGTGTCTTGGCCCTTAAAGTCTTCCCTTCTAATCACTCCAAGCAGAGTCCATGTATCCCTACTATAATTTGCATTGCAACTCTGTTGCAGTACCTCAATTGTCCTGTGATTTGCTATTTATGTGTCTGCCATCCACAGTAGCCAATAGAATCATTAGAAGCCCAGCTTGTGTCAGGCCGATCTTGATATTTTCTTCACCAAGCACAGTTCTTGGCAAATAGCACACATCCAATCATTATTAATTAAATCTTATTAAACTGAATTGATTTCCATTTGACTAAACTGATCTTGAGAATTATTTTTGTTCTGTGTGAGTGACTGAAGCTTCTTTCCTTCTTTCAAAGAAAGTACTATCTATAATTTCTATATGAGGATGTTCTCTGATTTGAGGATATAAGAGTCTTGCTTTGGCATGATCTTTGTCACTTCCCTATAGCCCAGAGAGCAGAGTACATTGATGTATTTGCCTTCTAGTTACTCAACTGTTCAGATCTGTTCCAATATGAATCTCATGTTGATTCATTATTAATATTAATTTAACATCTATTTTAATACATTAGGATTAATTCCTTTCACTCACATAGCATTTTATGTTTTCTTCTGCTAACGTCAATCTTTTTCCAGCCTGGATTTAACCATCCGGCTTTGGAAGATTTTGAAATTCTGCTTGATTCCTGTCTCTTTCTTCTTGATACCTTGGGCTTTGTTCTCAACTCCATTCTATATGCCATTGTCAAAGTCATGTTTAATGCCCTTCTTTTTCCCCAGTCTGTATACAAGAATGGTCTACGTAGTATAATATACATACTACATATTATTTTATGTTTTATATCAAATATAATATGGATCAAATAAACTTCTGTTTAAAGGTTTAATTATCAAAATAAAAATAAGTTAATAAATGATAAAACAATATTTAATTATAAAATCCTTCATTCTTCCAATATTTCTCTTTATGTTTACATTAAAATCTATACTTCTTACCATAACTAATAAGGTCCAATAGGAGAAGACCACTAGAAACCTCTTTAGTATACTACAACCACACTCCTTTTAGCAGCCTCTCAAACATTCCAACATGTTTCCATCTCAGGACCACTATACTGCTTTCTTCTCAGCTCAAATGCCCTTTCCACAAATGTTTGGGTCACTCTTCAAAAGTCATGTCCTCAGAAAGGTCTGCTTTGAACACCCTCACTGCCTCAGTCATACTCTTTCCTTTTGTTCCGATTCATTTCTCTTAAGCAGTCTTATCTATTTAAGTGTTTACAGTAAGAAGGAAAATCCAATTCTGTCACTATATTGTTTTGTGTGCCTCTGCCACATAGTAGACCTTCATTAAATACTTTTAGTTAAAAAAGAATGACTAAATAATGTATCTTAAGACAACATTAATATATTTTTGGTATAATGAGATCAATTCTGTATTTATAAAATGTATCTTATTAAAAGATCTTGTTGGCACAATGGCTCACACCTGTAAGCCATCACACCTGTAAGTGTTTTGGGAAGCTGAGACAGGATGATCACTTGAGTCCAGGGATTTGAGACTAGCCTGGGCAATATAGGGAGACCTTGTCTCTACAAAAATAAAAAAAAAAACAAAGTAATATCCTTTACAAAATATTAAAAATATTTCAATGTTAGTGCAATATACAAAATACATAAAATATAAACATACAATTATTAAGATTGCTGATTAGTCTTTGCATATGTTGTTACAAAATTAATTAAGTGCTTTATTTTACCCCCAAATGCTAAGGTGTAGGGAAAGTAGACATAAAAGTAGAGTGGGTTAAAAGAGAAAACAGAAAAATCAGAGAGATAGGCATTAATTTTTAATGCATTATGCTAGATGTTTTATATCTGCTATTTCATTCAGTCTTCACATGGTAGTATTATTCCTGATTTACAGATTTGAAAACTGAAGCATAGAGAGATTAATTTCTCAAAGAACAGATATTGTTAAGAACACATGCAATTTGAATAGATGTACTTTGATTCTGAGCTTTTTAAACTATATCTTGCTTCCTATCTCATGTTAATTAATATAATTTAAAATGTTTAGAATGCAAGGAAATTGCATTCTAATTGAGGATATGTACAAATTAGGACACAGTATGCAATATAAATGTTAAGGAAGGCCGAAGCCTTGGTCTTTATTACATGTCAGTTTCATTGCCCTATAGAGTCCCATCCAGAGCAATTTTAATCAATTAATGTCATTTCTATCACATTTCTGAAAAAAATACATCAAGTAAGAGGAAAAAATGTCCATAATGATTGTAGTAGCAAAACTCAGCAAATGGAACCAACTCTGAAACAGCAAGGGCAATACCTGCTAAGCCAGATCAGGAGGTAAAGAAGGTAAGAGACAGCTGGAGCCTTATAAAGCTGAGGAGAGAAAGAAGAGAGGGTAGCTAATTTTAAGAGAGGAGTGAGAAGAAAACATTGGGAAGTATTACTATTTGCTAGACTAGAGTTTTTGCTAGATTATTTTTATATTCAAATATTTCTGCTTTCCAAATCAGTTCATTTCACTTGTTTAAACTTGAAAATATATATTTGTGTATAGAGCTCTGTGGCATAATTTATGAACAGGAAATAGTAAAATAGCAAAATTACTTTGAGAATAAGAGGTAGAGTTGGCAAAGCCCTAATCAGTTGAAAACATAATAAACCTCCCATTAGCCATATTTATAATTAAAAAGGGACTAATGCATTTTCCCCAAGTACAGTACCTTATGTAGAAAGTTTACTCAAATATTTTTAATTAAATTGATTTTGTAAAGAAAGCTTCAGATTTTACTACTAACAAGTATTAAAATTCAGCATCATCTAAGGATGCTTTTCTTAGATGATGTCTTAAATTCTTTATATACATCATTACAATTCTTTATATACATCAACAACCCGATTATGCCAAATTGTTCTCTGGTCCCTGTTCCAAAGTTCTTATAATTACTTGAAACCATAACGTCATCTCACCTGCTCTTTCTTCCAAATCTGAAGCCCCCACCTCTGATTCCAGTCTAGTGGCTAGAATCCTGTTATCTATGGACTGACTTCCGACCCTGTGAAGTCTGCTTTTCTGTTCTTTGCTGGGGCAGATCATTTGTTCTGCTGTCAGAGTTATCCTATTTCCAAATCCCTATCCCACAAAGAGTTCTGAGTCTACCCAGTATTTTCTCTAACCGTGAATAAACAGTTGCATGATTTCTGAGATGAACAATAGATAGGTGAAGTGAAGTGAATAGTGCCAACATCAAGGGATAGCTGTAAGATTTAGTGGCTGGATGCAGTGGCTCATGCCTGTAATCCCAGCCCTTTGGTAGCACAAGGTGGGAGGATCACTTGAGGCCAGGCATTTGAGATCAGCCTGGGCAACATAGGGAGACCCTATCTCTACAAGAAAATAAAAATAGTTATCCAGGCATGGTGGCACATGACTGACTATAGTCCTAGCTACTCAGGAGGGTCACTTAAGCCTAGTAGTTTTAATCTGGGGGAAGCTATGATCACACCACTGCACTCCAGGCTGAGTGACACAGTGAGACCCCGTCTTGGGGAAAAAGTACAAGGAGATTTAGTGCCTTTTAAAATTTTCACAACTTCTCCAAGTTTTAGTGAAAGTCTCCTCTTGTCTGGCAAAGATAACTCCAAGATAAGCTTCCTGCACTTCCCATTGAAACCTTATTGTTTGTTTGTTTTTTACCTCTAAGTTCCTCCTATGTCAAAATTTCGGAGTTTCTATTACAGCCACCCTCATTTATGTTCCTTCCAAATCTCAGTTCTTAGAGCACTCATATTTCAGACACACTTGAGGACATAAAGCCATATTACAAGACAATATTATGTTATGGTCCTATTTTACTTACCATTTAATTACATAGAAAAACAGAAATAAGTTTATTCTAGCGCTTTCTCTGCCTCAGTGCCCCACGTCTGCTTGCCAAGACTTTTATCTACACACCGCTGATTCCTTGATCTATCTTCTGAGTTTTCCTCTCATGGGACACCAATCCCTCCAGCTCTGCCACCCTCTGTAAACAAATGATTTCCTTGAAACAGTTCCTGAAAATTCCCAGAGGAGACCCTGGGTCAGGATCAGATCACAGCTTTTACTGACTGGTTCCCACAAGGCATTGCTATGGTCAGACTGGGATGGACTAAAAGTTTTGAACTAAACACATCAAAGAGAGTCTACTTAGAGATTAGGAAAAGCAGTTGAGGCTACCAAGAAATCACTTAACCCTAGATTAATCGATATATTATTTTAGGTTTATGTTTCTTTGCTGCTGCTTCTTTTTTCTTACAATCAACGAGGTGTTTTCCCTTTTTTATGAATAAAATATAATTTACACATGGTAAGATGGATAAACACAAAGTGTATAGCTAAATGGATTTTTATCCACTTACGCAAACAAGTAACATTAAAAAAGAGGAGTGCTAAAAACTCAAAATCTGAATATGCTTTTTTCTTTTTTATTTTAGTTCTGTTACTTGCTTTGTTGTGTCTTTTGAAACTTTCCTACTACATGCAAATACATTAAGATGGCTATTTCTTCTTGATGAACTGACCTTTCATCATTGCAAAATGTCTCTTTTTCCCCGGTAGTATGTCTTACTTTAAAGTCCATTTTTGCTAGTAATAGTATGGCCACACTGACCATATATATTCATATGCATAATGTATCTTTTTATATCCCTTTACTCATGACCTATCCTTATATTTAAAGTATATGTATACACACACACACACACAGACACACACACACACACACGCTGATTTTTTGTTTATTTTTTTTGGATGGAGTCTCACTCTGTCGCCCGGCTGGAGTGCAGCGGCAGGATCTCGGCTCACTGCAACCTCCAGCTCTCTGGTTCAAGCAATTCTCCTGCCTCAGCCTCCTGAGTAACTGGGATTACAGACACATGCCACCACGCCCAGCTAATTTTTGTATTTTTAGTAGAGACAAGGTTTCACCATGTTGGCCAGGATGGTCTCCATCTCCTGACCTCGTGATTTGCCCGCCTCAGTCTCCCAAAGTGTTGGGATTACAGGCATAAGCCATCATGCCCGGCCTATATTTTTAATCCATTGTGACAAGTGCTATTTTGTAATTGGGGTCATACTATTATATCAAAACATTTATTTTTATGACTATCTTTGTCTTACTTATTTTCTCCATCTTTTTCTTTTCTTTGTTATAGCTTTCTCACTTATTTTGAAACTGTGAATCAAATAAAATCAAGTATGTTTCAGTATTCTACTTCATTTCCTCAACTGGCTTCTTAGCTATACTTGTTTGTATTTTTTTTTTCAAAACAGAGTTGATCCTTAGAGTACGAATCCTTAACTTATTAAGATAGTCTACCATAAACAAATATTATATTGTACCATATGTAATGCAGAAGCTTTTAATAATGTGCTTCCATTTAACTCATATTTATCCTGTATGTAATTATTAAGTACATGTTTCTACCTGTGTTGCAAACCTCTCTATATGTTGTAATTCTTAAATGGTAAATAATTTTCCAGCAATTAAGTAAATAAAAATAAATAGAAATAATAAATAAAAATTAAATAATAAATATTATATATTATATATAAATAATAAATTTAAAAAGTTTCTATTTTCTCATATATTCACCCCTTTGTCATTTTTTATTCTTTTCTGTTCATTCCAGTTTCCTCCTTGTATTATTTTATGTTGCCTAAAACTTTCCTTTAGCATTTATTGTGTGAAGGTCTTATGGCTATGGATTTTCTTAGGCTTTGTCTCTCTGCAAACATATATATTTTACTGTCCTTTTGAAAAATAGTTTTGAGAAATTTTGAATTCCAGGTTGACAATTTTTTTCTTAGTACTTTCAAAAGATAATTCTATTGTTTTAAGTATGACATTGTTTTTCATGAGACATTGGCTGTCATTCTAACCATTATTTCTCTACTTGTATATCTTTTTCCCCTCTTATTTTATTATTTCTCTCTTTTTCTTTGGTTTTCAGGATTTGACTATAATGTGTCTATGTGTTAATTTCTTTGTGTTTATCCTGTTTGGGGTTGTTTGCTGTGGCTCTCTTCTCAAACATAAAGGGCTCATTCCTCTGAGTTTCAGTTTAAGTCTTTCTTGTACCTACTATTCTTTTACTGTCCTGCAGAAAATTGTTCTTTTCAGGACTTTCTCATTGTTTCTATGGGGATTAATGTATTTAATATCTTTCCACGTTCTAATGAGGAATGTTGAATCTCTGGGTTATAGTAACAAAAATAATGTTAAAAGAATATTTTTATTGTTAGCATTATTTATCTTCCTCAAAAGTGTCCATAGGTATGTTTTTTAATATATAGGGGACATTTACTTACCTCCTCCATATGAAGAAATCCAAACCTATCTATTCCAGGAGTCACTGGATCTACTCTTTAAATTAGAGTTTATTAGAAATTTAAGAAATCTCTCTCTCTCTCTCTCTCTCTGTGTGTGTGTGTGTGTGTGTGTGTGTGTGTGTGTGTGTGTGTGTTCTTTCAAGAAAAACAACTGTAAGAATGTGAAGGAAGCTTTATTAGTTAGAAAGATAATTTGACAGTCAAGGCAGTAGCAATTGAGGCCTCTGTCAGTGCTACAGAAAAATCTGGAACTGGAACAACCCTTCAGGATTATCCTAAATTGAAGCAAAGTCTCTGTACCCTTGCATTAACCAGTAACTGAATGTGGCCTGCTCACCAACAAGGGTTATAAACTGGATGAGACAAGTTCATTTTGATTAGAATAATTCCAGGAAAGGACTTATCTGTATTCCCATAGCAGCCCCAAATTCAGGAATCTGGGAGCTGATGTCTTAGTTCCGAAGAAAGGCTGACAGAGAAATTCACTGCATAATTTATTGCAGTCTACTCTTGTATTACTCAAATTCAACTGCTTCATTTGGGAATAGCTCTTCTCATGTTTGTGTTGTCTATTTGCCCAAGAAGAAGACACGATCATGAAAAGTTTGTGAACGAACTACAACATACATCACTTAAGCTGTTCTTGAAACCTCAACTGATCTTATCATCTGCCATCTCTATAATCCATTCTAAATTCTTCTTTAGTAAAGACTACAACATTTATTGCATAGGTTTCTTTCATGGTAGAGCAACCAGATCCTTTTTTCAAAGGGTAAAAATGTCTCTATAGAATGACCTTTTCAGGCTAAGGCTATTTCACTTGCTAATTTATCATCAAAATTTGCCAGGATGGTACCAAGAGACAACCAGTCAGCTATCTGGGTACTGAACATATTCTTCCATTCCTTCATTGTTTATTAGAAGCCCTATCTTTTCCTGATGATCAAGGATTAATTAATTACCCCATCAGGCTAATGACCTCTTTCCTTGCCAGCTTGTTTTTGAGCTTAGAGAAGATCAAAGTTATTAGGCAAGAGCTTAACATAAATTTTATTTATTTTATTTTTAAATTAATTAAAAGATCCTCACAATGTCTCCCACTCTGAAAATGAGGACCTTTAGCTCAACAGAACATAAATTGCAGAAATAGGAAACACAAATTTTCCAAGTAGGTCACCAAAAATGATGGTAAGTGGGACTACTCTTAATTTCAGCTCTTTTGTTCCCAAATATATTTATTCTAATCATTGCAGTCAAAGCTATGTATAATGATTGTTGGTGTGTTGTACATGACGCATCTGGGGTATGTTGTCTCATCCTCACTAATGTCGTCTCTAAGGTGGAGACTCAACTCTACCTGTTCTATTTCTGTACCAGATTGGAAGCTTTTGAGTGGTGTAGCCCATGATACAAGCATGGTTGTGTGTCTACTGTTGCAAGTATTCTAAAATGTGTCCCTTTTCATGAAGTGATATAACATAATGTCCTATGCTGGTGGATCAAACCCTTTGTAAGCCCTGAGATACTAGGTTTGGCTATGACTCTTCAAGAAAATAAAACAAACCTACACCCATCATATGTGTCAATTTCTATCAAGTTCATTTGCTGCCTTTTGTGGGGTAGAATAATCTTCCATTAAGTGGCCATTTTCTACTCAAGAAGTGATGCTACATTGGGCAGTTAACATTGTTTTCTATCATTGCCAGGTTAATATTTAGTAGAAAGAGAAGTTTTATCAGCCTTGTTGAGTGGGAAACTATGCTTTGTGTTTATGCAGTTTTCATCCTGCCACTATAGCTACTTCAATTAGGAGCCAATTATGCCACCACTGAGGTTGCTTATATCAGAATCTAGCTGATATAAATTGTCAGGTCCACTCAGTGTTCTTTATAGCTTAGGTTCTTTTCCATTATGTATAGACTATGATGAACATTGATCTTTTATATAAAGATCTTCAAACTTTGTTCTAACTTCTAGAACCATCCACATGCCACTTCATCCCTCTGCCTCTTTGTCACTAGTATTCCAGTCTTTCTCCTTCCAACAGCCTGGTCAATTAGCCAAGTTACCCACCATTAACAATAAGTTGAATTTTTGTGTATTCTTACATAGAACCACCTCTTTTTTATACAAAGAGGATGAGTGAGTCCATCAGCTGATTTGTCCGTGGGATGTATTTCTCCTAAGTACTATCTTTCAAAGTCACTCCTTAATGGATCAGTAACACATCTACAGTTCATTTTTGGCATACCAACTTTACTCATTTATGAACTAACTTGGCTTTCATCCCCCACCAGCTGGTCATAAGGGATCATCCACGTAGCTACAAGTGTAAGCTTAGGGAAAGTGCACCACATTGCAATAGTAGTGCACTAACATCAGTGGACTTCGCATCACCTCTTTGTGCTTTTTTTTTTTTTTTTTTTTTTTTTTTGAGACGGAGTCTCACTCTGTCGCCCAGTCTGGAGTGCAGTGGCGTGATCTCCGCTCACTGCAAGCTCTGCCCCCCGGGGTTCATGCCATTCTCCTGCCTCAGCCTCCTGAGTAGCTGAGACTACAGGTGCCTGCCACCACACCTGGCTAATTTTTTTGTATTTTTAGTAGAGACGGGGTTTCACAGTGTTTGCCGGGATGGTCTCAATCTCCTGACCTTGTGATCCGCCTGCCTCGGCCTCCCAAAGTGCTGGGATTACAGGTGTGAGCCACCATGCCCGGCCCCCTCTTTGTGCTCTTTCAGTTGTGCTTGATGGTCTTACTTGTGTCTTAGCATGGGCATACGTCTTTCTGTTATGTGAGTAGAATTAGCACTCAAAGTGTGGCATATGCTGCCTCCGGGGTTTCAGGAGGTCACTACATGTGGTACTTTCTTCTTGGTGGTAAAAGATAAAAAATGCTTTAGTTTGTCTATTAACTGAGAGAGGCTGTCGCAATTTTTCCTATACCGCAGGATCCCTAAAAACTTCTCTAATGTTTAAGATTCCTACTTTTTTGTATGGGTGTTTATCTCTATCCTTTCCCACCTAAAGAGCACTGTGTTTTGACAAGAATGCCAATATACTTGCATTTCATGCTCGTCTACCTGATTAATATATTGTCATTGATATAGTGGGTCAATAAAATATTATGCAAAATATCCAAAGAAAATAAGTATTTTCAAATTATAGATTTATTATAGAAGATGGAAGAGAATATATTTGCCACATAAATACTACATACTTGATAATCGAATCCAGGTTAATCTTAATCTTCCCTGGTAAAAACACTGCACCTGACATAAAACTTTAAACTGATGTTTCTACTTGGTTGAGATTGGAGTCCACAGTAGTCCTCCATGACCCTTTTCGTTACACACACAAAAGTAGCCAGTAAGAGAATCCAGTTTACAGAGAATGCTCTATTTATAAATAAATCTTGTGAGTTACCTTTCCTCTGGGTACTATTACAGTTCACTTCAGATGAAAATTTTAACAATAACTTGCTACAGCATGTCAGGGACCATCAACATTTCATCTGCAACCAGTGATGTGGTTCCTATTGTGATGCAGACAGTGATGAATCCAACTCTAGAATTTCTTATTGGCAATCTGTTTTCTAGAATCTTTTCTCACTTACAAGTAAGAACACAGTATCTGGTTTTCTGTTGCTGTGTTAATTTGCTCAGGATAATGGCTTCCAGATGCATCCATGTTGCTCCAGAGGACACGATTTTGTTCTTTTTTTGTGGCTGTGTAGTATTCCCTGGTGTACATGTATCACATTTTCTTTATCCAACCTTCTGTTGGCACCTGGGTTGGTTTCATGTCTTTGCTATTGTTTGACACACTTTTTAGTTGTGTTGTTTGTTTTCTTATTGAGTTTCAAGAATTCTTGTGTCTTTTGCAAATATTTTCTTCCAATTAGCAACTTATAATAAAATGTTAAGTCCCAAGATAATAAGGTGGGTATCAAATGCATCTGCTAGAATAGCCCAATGACATTTAATAAGTCTATTTGCTTCAGATAACTTAACATGGAGAATATGTAATCTCATTTATCTTATGGGAGTTGATCGTCTTCTCCAGACATGGGAACTAGCAATGAGTGGGCTTATCCCTGCTCATTGTTTTAAATTTCTATTCATTTCTTATTCACAGATATATGTATTTTGTATTTGAGCCATGTTGTGTCTTTTATATTATTATTCCATTAAATTGTATTAATTAAAATTATTTTATTATTAATGTAAGGCTTTCCATTATTTTAACCAAAGTTTTTCTTTTTAACTTAGAAATATGCTTTAAGAAATACTTAAAACAGTTATATATATATCCTTATTTTATACATTTTTACTTAAATTGTCTTCACATTTTTATATTGTTTCATAGCCTTAAATAATTATTATTTAATTTAAACCATGATGGAACTGACATATAAAATAGAAATATGTGAATAAAACGCAGGATACTCCTCGGACGGTTCTAGTGAATGCAATATAATGTGGAAGGCATGTAGTTTTGAGACACTGCTTTAAAAATCTAACAGAGTACGACAGGCTATGTCTATTTCAATGTTAATATTTTGCCAAAAATGGATCATACAAATAAGTGGAATGACTGGTAAACCATTTTATAGTTTGTAAAGTGCTTTTCTAAATATTTGATACTTATAGATTACTATCTCCATTTTGTGGATGATTAAGCTAAGATGAAGAACGTTTAAGTGGTTTGACTTAGAATTGGACATAAAGTGTTTTGATTATAGATAACATGTTATTTTAACTATATTTTCCAACCTCTACAAATCCCATGTGTCAAGCTTCTTCAACTTCAAATGTTTACCTTTCAGATGAGTAGTCTCCCTGTAGTTTGTCTCACAATTTGCCTCTAGTTTCTGTTAAGGTACAATGAATACAAAGTAATGTACCAGCCCCAGGCCTAACCCTTTCTGTGTAAGCTTGATTACTCTCAAGGGTCTAGTCACCTGAGGAAAAGAGAAGTAGGTACCTCTAGATAAAGTGGAAGTGAAAGTGGAGAATTCTTGTTTTTATCCTTCAGGAACTTACTGAGCATCTGGTTCTGGTAAGGTTAAGGAGCTATAAATCCTTTTGGAAACCTAAATCTAAGGTTTGTTAAACTGCTTATATCTGAATACATGTCTATGGGGAGGAAGAGTAAGTGGTTTCAGTGTGTGTGCATACATGAAGAGTGAATATATTATGCCCTGACGGTTAAACAAGAAGGTTAAATATCGGGGTGTTTTTCTAATGCCCTAATATCAGTAGAGATTTATTTACTTAATAATATGACAAATAAAAGCAAGCCTTATTGTCAATTAAAAAATATAAATTACTCTTGTCCAATCTAGGACTTGATGTCTGGAAGGAAAATGGCTAAGGAAGTTTTATTGAAGTAGTTATTCATCTCTGCTATTTACTGATTATCTTCATTGTGTTAGAGACTATCAGACAGCCTAACATAACTCTGAGGTAGATACCATTGTTTACCACATTTCACAGAAGAGCAAACAACTGCTTAAGCAGCTTTCCCAGATTCACACAGGGTAAATTGCCATGCTGAGATTTAAACCAAGGTGTTTGTGCGTTAGCTTGAGAACTGATTTTTGCCTTAAAGAATAGCAATTCTAAGTGGTATGGGAAATATTTTACCTGAGGACTGCCTTCCTTGAAACATTCTCTTCTTTTGGCATCTACTATATTCCACCTCTCTGTATATTCTACCTCCATATATTCCACCTCTCTGAATATTCCTTTGCAAGATCCTCTCAACAATCTTACTGCTCCTCAGGGTTCTATGAGTTTTAAATTTTGTATTATGTACATTTTTACTGTATGATTTCATTTACTCTTTGGTTTCAGATACCACCTATCATGTCAGTACTTCTGAATAAACAGCCTTGATGAGCTATCTCTTCTGAAGTTCATCCACATCCAAATGCATGCTCTGTGTAAGAATGACTTTACCGCTTAAAATATGAGTGAAAAGAATGGACATCAATATCCCTTAGTTGTTGCCAGAGAAAAAAAGGGAGAAAGTGCTAAGAAATGATTCTACATATTTTATATTTCTTCCATTCACATTTATTCTTTACATATTTGCTGAGAGCCTTTTATATTCCACGTGTCATGTTGATGACAGATACATGGGGATAAATAAAACCTTTTTATACCTTTTAACATGGAGTAGTCAATGTGCATGGTAGTAATGGAGTTTGGTAGGGTAGGGTTACATGAAAGTAGTACGTTATAAAACACTGCAGAATCTTCCACAATAAAAAATGCACTAGAGATGCATTCCCTGAAAGACCTGAGTCAATATCCCTCAGCAAAAGACGAAAATAAAAAGGAATAAGAGTTAAGTGCATTCAGAGGTGAGAACTTATTTTATGACTACTGACATGGGATCAGAATTGAATTTGCTAAGAAAACACAGTCCAGCAAATAACAGGAGAATGCTTTTAATGACATCTCACAATCTGCTACCGTCTCCACATTATACTTACCCTGGGTTTTGCATTAGGTTCACTACCATGGTGGGAGATTAATGAGTCATGCTCAAACTGTTCAAGGCCCTTTTCCATGTAGAAGATGCAGAGCTATTCACAAGTTGCCAAAATGTCTCTTAGTACCTAGCAAAAGTAAAATATATTGGCCCAAGGCTGCTTGTTATTTACTATGTACTTTTTTCAATTATCCTCTAAAAAATCACAAAATACAGTATGAATTCACAGTTAAGCTTCCATATAAAGGAGCTCAATCAATTTCCAGTGTCTCCTGTGTTTTCCACTGAAGGTTGATGACTTTTTTCTCTTGCAAGTTGAAGTTTAAAAAATTCTGGAGTGAGGATAGCTTGTCTTCTTCTCTCTAGCCTTCCATTGGCTCTACCTTCATCTTTTGTATTTTTGTTATTTTTAATTAAAATTATTAATTTCATAATTTTAATTTATGCATTTACTAAGGAAGCTTATTAAATATAGGCGGAATTTATAATGATTGTCTTAGAGATTTGTGTTTCTCTGACAGTTTTACCAATTTTTACCTGTTTACCTTGAAGGCCAAAAACTTGATGATAAGTTGCAAGATTGCATATTTTACTTCTGAAAGTAAACTTGTATGCTTTTTAAAAGAGACTCTAAAATAAAATCAGGTTCTGTTTATTATGTAGGCAAAATTTTAATGCTTCATTTCCAACAGAAATTGGGTGGTTTGGATTTTTTTCATTTAGCATTTATTTGACTAAATATGCATTTATTTGACTAATTTCTCTGACTAATTAAATACAGAGATATAAGATTAAATAATCCAATCAAGATGGATAAGATTAACATGAACACAATACTACTGTAGAGCTTCAAATGGTTTCTTGAAATAAAATGGTAGCCTGAAGTGTGAACCATAAGTGTTTAAGCGAGGAGGTGCCACATTTAATACATGAATATGTACGTGAAGAAATAAGAATACGTAACTCCAAAGTACTTATCCACTGCTCCATTTCTCCAACATGTTCTATTGGAAACTACTGTGTAATCAATGCTAATATTTACAGATACTTGTTTGTGGTTTATGAACCTAGATCTCTGTTTGGAACTTCATAAATAACTATAAATATCAAAACCTACCAAGATTGTATTCATTTTACAGATTTAAAATAACGCCCAAATAAGTTAAATAATTTAAAATCAAATGAAAGGGCAAATGTGTTTGAACAGAAATCGTTGTTTATTTTTATATAACACTTGATGTAACATGTATATTTACTCATGTATAAAATGTGCATAAGTACCTACCTCATAAGTATAAGAGGTAAATTAGTCTATAAATGTATTTACTTTATAGCATCTAATGACTTAATGTTTTCCAAATATTCGCAGTGATCTCTGATTATTTTCTTAGACTATTTCTTTCAAACTTTCTACATAAAGCTCAGAGATTTTATTTTAAAGCCAACGTGGGTACTGCTGAAGACTGTATGGAAAAATGAGTGGAAAAGATTCTAAGTATCTTTTTACTGATTCAAAGCAGCTCCATTTTGATATGTTTTATATATTTTGCTAAACATCTTAAAAAGTAGGGCCAGATGCAGTGGCTCACACCTGTAATCCCAGCACTTTGGGAGGCCAAGGCAGGTGGATCACCTGTGTCAGGAGTTCAAGACCAGCCTGGCCAACATGGTGAAAACCCATCTCTACTAAGAATACAAAAATTAGCTACGCATGGTGGTGGTGGTGCACACCTGTAATCCCAGCTACTTGGGAGGCTGAGGCAGGAGAATCACTTGATCGCGGGAGGTGGAGGTTGCAGCAAGCTGAGATCGCACCATTGCACTCCAGCCTGGGCAACAAGAGCAAAACTCCCTCTAAAAAAAAAAAAAAAAAAAATCCTAAAAATCCTAAAAAGTCACCAACTTAGGACAAGTTGTTAGAAGTGAATTTACCATGCTGGAGAATATGAACTTGTTTAAGGACTTCTGGTAAATTTTGAAGAGTGCAGTTGATTAGCAGCCAAATATGCCTTTGAGTATAGTATACGAATGAACCCCTTATCCTCACAAAACTGAGTTTTAACCAAAAGCATGACTGCTTTTCATTTATATGGTTTCAGATCCGGCTAACGAGCTCATATCTCCCTCATTATGTCTGTTCTCAATAACTCCGAAGTCAAGCTTTTCCTTCTGATTGGGATCCCAGGACTGGAACATGCCCACATTTGGTTCTCCATCCCCATTTGCCTCATGTACCTGCTTGCCATCATGGGCAACTGCACCATTCTCTTTATTATAAAGACAGAGCCCTCGCTTCATGAGCCCATGTATTATTTCCTTGCCATGTTGGCTGTCTCTGACATGGGCCTGTCCCTCTCCTCCCTTCCTACCATGTTGAGGGTCTTCTTGTTCAATGCCATGGGAATTTCACCTAATGCCTGCTTTGCTCAAGAATTCTTCATTCATGGATTCACTGTCATGGAATCCTCAGTACTTCTAATTATGTCTTTGGACCGCTTTCTTGCCATTCACAATCCCTTAAGATACAGTTCTATCCTCACTAGCAACAGGGTTGCTAAAATGGGACTTATTTTAGCCATTAGGAGCATTCTCTTAGTGATTCCATTTCCCTTCACCTTAAGGAGATTAAAATATTGTCAAAAGAATCTTCTTTCTCACTCATACTGTCTTCATCAGGATACCATGAAGCTGGCCTGCTCTGACAACAAGACCAATGTCATCTATGGCTTCTTCATTGCTCTCTGTACTATGCTGGACTTGGCACTGATTGTTTTGTCTTATGTGCTGATCTTGAAGACTATACTCAGCATTGCATCTTTGGCAGAGAGGCTTAAGGCCCTAAATACCTGTGTCTCCCACATCTGTGCTGTGCTCACCTTCTATGTGCCCATCATCACCCTGGCTGCCATGCATCACTTTGCCAAGCACAAAAGCCCTCTTGTTGTGATCCTTATTGCAGATATGTTCTTGTTGGTGCCGCCCCTTATGAACCCCATTGTGTACTGTGTAAAGACTCGACAAATCTGGGAGAAGATCTTGGGGAAGTTGCTTAATGTATGTGGGAGATAAGAACTTGAACAATTAGGTAATAAATTATCAACCAGTAGGCATTTACTGTCATTTGCTATGTGCTTAATGCCATAGAAGTCACTAATGAAGGACTGGATGATGGAAGTGAAAAGCTATGTAGTGCAGAATTTATAATAAAGTTGAGAATATAACTGAACAGGATAGAAAAAAAAGTC